>NC_000023.11:77311026-77614057 GCF_000001405.40 Homo sapiens
AGGCAGAGGTTGCAGTGAGCCAACATTGTGCCAGTGCACTCCAGGCTGCGCAAGAGAGTGAAACTCCATCCAAAAAAAAAAAAAGGAGAGAGAGAATCCTCATCAGACTAACTAGGTTTCTTTGCAGAAACCCTATAGGCCAGGGGATAATGGTATGGTATATTGAAAGTGCTAAAAGAAAAAAACTGCCAGCCAGGAATACATAGCAATGTTACCCTTCAATAATGTAGGAGAGATAAAGTCTTTCCCAGAAAAGCAAAAACTGAGGAAATTCATCAACATTAGGTTAATCCTACAAAAAATGCTTAAGGGAGGCCTACACCTAGAAGTGAAAGGATGCCATCTGCCACCGTTAAAATTCATTAAACTATAAAACTCATTGACAAAGCAGATACAAACATAAGAAAGAGAAAGGAGTCAAATTTCATTACAAAGAAAACACCAAATTATAAGGTAACCAATAAAAGAGAAGAAAGGAACAAATGAAATAATCAACTAAATTAAAAGAGTAAGTCCTCACCTATCAATAACACTTTGAATATAAATGATTTAAATTCTCCAATTTAAAGATATATACTAGCTGAATGAATTTCTTTTAGAAAGAGCAAATTTTATGCCTCCTACAAGGAACTCACTTTACATGTAAAGACACACATAGACTGAAAATGAAGCAATGGGGGAAAAAATTCCATGCCAACAGAAACCAAAAGCATGAAGAAGTAGCTATAACTATATCAGGTAAAATAGACTTTAAGTTTTAAAAAACATAAAAAGAGACAAAGAAGATTACTATATCATGATAAAGGGACCAATTATGCAAGAGGATACAACAACTGTAAATATATATGCACCCAATAACAGAGCACTCATGAATAAAAAGTAAATATTATTAGAGCTAAAGAGAGAAATAGACCCTAATACAGTAATAGTTGGGGATTTAAACACCCCACTTTCAGCATTGGACAGATCATCTACACAGAAAATCAATAAAGAAACATGATATTTCATCTGCAATATAGAACAAATGGACCTAACAGATATGTACAGAACATTTTGAAATTACATCAACTTCTTCTTAGACAACAATGGAATAAAATTAGAAAAATAAGAGGGAGGCTGGGTGCGGTGGCTCATGTCTGTAATCCCAGAACTTTGGGAGGCCGAGATAAGCAGATCACCTGAGGTCAGGAGTTCGAGACCAGCCTGACCAACATGAAGAAACACTGTCTCTACTAAAAATACAAAATTAGCCAGGCGTGGTGGCACATGCCTGTAATCCCAGCAACTCGGGAGGCTGAGGCAGGAGAATCACATGAACCCAGGAGGCAGAGGTTGCAGTGAGTTGAGATCATGCCATTGCACTCCAGCCTGGGCAACAGGAGTGAAACTCCAGCTCAAAAAAAAAAAAAAAAGGAAAGTAAAACAAGAGGAACTTTGGAAACTAAAAAATACATGAAAATTAAACAACATGTTCTTAAATGACCATTGGTTGAATGAAAAATTTAAGAAAATAAATTAAAAAATTTTTTGAAACAAGGAAAATAAAAATGCAACACACAAAAATCTACAGAATACAGCAAAAGTAGTGCTAAGAGGAAAGTTTATTGCAATAAGCACCTACATCAGGCTGGGCACAGTGGCTCACATTTATAATCCCAGCAATTTGGGAGGCCAAGGCAGGAGGATCTTTTGAACTCAGAAGTTAAAAGCCAGCCTGGGCAACATAGCAAGACCCTGTCTCTAAAAAAAAAAAAGTTAATAAGCCAGGTGTGGTGACATGTGCCTGTAGTCCCAGCTACTCGGGAAGCTGAGGTGGCAGAATGGCTTGAGCCTGGGTGACTGAGACTGCAGTGAGCCACGATAGCACCACTGCACTCTAGCCTGGGAGACAGAGCAGGATCCTATCTCAAAAAATAAAAAATAAAAATAAACAAATGCCTGCATCAAAAAAGTAGACAAATTTCAAATAAAAAACAAAGATGTATATCAAAAAATTAGAAAAACAAGAACAAACTAAACCCAAAATTAGTAGAAAAAAATAATGAAGATCAGGGAAGAACTACAAGAAATGGAGACTATAAATCAATAAAAGGATCAATGAACTAAGCTGCTTTTTTGAAGAGATAAACAAAACAGATTAAAAATTAGATAGATTAACCAAGCAGAAAAAGACCCAAATAAATAAAATCAGAAATGAAAAAGGAGATATTACAGCTGATACCACAGAAATAGAATTAAAAAATCATTAGACTAATATAAACTATACACTAATAAGTCGGAGAACATAAAGAAAATGGATAAATTCTTAGACACACACAACTTACCAAGATTAATTCAGGAATAAATAGAAAACCAGAAAAAAACAATAATGAGTGATGGGATTGAATCAGGAATAAAAAGTCTTCCAAAAATCAAAAGGCTAGGCCTGGATGGCTTTACTACTAAATTTTACCAAACTTATGAAGGAGAATTAATATCATTTCTTCTCAAACTATCCCAAAAAATTGAAAAAGAGAGATTTCTTCCTAACTCATTCCATAGGGTTATCATTATCATGATGTCAAAACAAACAAGGACACAACAACAGAAGGAAAACTGAAAACTGCAGGCCAATATCCCTGACGAACATCAATGCAAACATTCTCCACAAAATACTAGGAAAGGAAATTTACAACACATCAAAAATATAATAGACAATGAGGAAGTGGGATTTATCTAAGAGATACAGGAATGGTTCAACATATACAAATCAATAAATATGATACATCACATTTACAGAATCAAGTACAAAAACGGAATGATAATCTCAATATACACAGAAATTTATTTGATAAAATTCAACATCACTTCATTATTAAAACTCTCAACAAATTAGGCATGGGAGGAATATACCTCACATAACAAAGGCCATATATAACAAAGCCACCATCACATATAACATCATAATGAACGGGGGAAAAGCTGAAAGCCTTTTCTGAGAACTAAAATAAGATAAGGATGCCACTCTCACTGCTCTTATTCAATACAGTACTACAAGTACTAGCCAGAGGAATCAGGCAAGAGAAAACAATGAAAAGCATTTAAATTGTTCCTCCTTGCAGATGACATGACCTTATATAGAGAAAAACCAAAAGACTCCACCAAAAAACCACTAGAAATAATAAACCAATTTGGTAACACTGCAAGAGACAAAATAAATATATAAAAATCAACAGCATTTATATACTAATAACAAAGTTGCTGAAAAAGAAATCAAGAAAGCAATCCCATTTACCATTGTTACAAAAGATAAGACACCTAGGAATAAATTCAACCAAGGAAGTGAAAGACCTTTACAATAAAAACTACAAAACATTTATAAAAGAAATTATAGAAAGATGGCCAAATAGGAACACTCCAGTCTGCAGCTCCCAGCAAGACCAACGCAGAAGGTGAGTGATTTCTGTATCTCCAACTGAGGTACCCTTTTCATCTCACTGGGACTGGTTAGGCAGTGGGTGCAACTCATGGAGGGAAAGCAGAAGCAGGGTGTCACCTCACCAAGGAAGTGCAAGGAGTAGGGAGCCTCCCTTTCCCAGCCAAGGGAAGCCATGAGGGACTGTGCTATCCAGCCCAGATACTACGCTTTTCTCAGTTTTTGCAATCTGCAGACCAGGAGATTCCCTCGTGAGCCTACACCACCAGGGCCCTGGGTTTCAAGCACAAAACTGGGCAGCTGTTCGGGCAGACACCGAGCTAGCTGCCAGAGATTTTTTTCATACCCCAGTGGAGCCTGGAACCCCAGCGAGACAGAACCGGTCACTCCCCGGGAAAGGGGGCTGAAGCCAGGGAGCAAAATGGTCTCACTCAGAGGGTCCCACACTCACGGAGCCCAGCAAGTTAGGAACCACTGGCTTGAAATTCTCAATGCTAGCACAGCAGTCTTAAGTAGACCTGGGACTATAGAGCTTGGTTGGGGGAGGGTCATCCACCATTACCAAGGCTTGAGTAGGTGGTATTCCTCTGAAAGCATGAAGGAGGCCTGGAAGTTTTGACTGGGCGGAACCCAACACAGTGCGGCAAAGTGACTGTGGCCACACTGCCTCTCTAGGTTCCTCTTCATTGAGCAGTGTATCTCTGAAAGAAAGGCATCAGCCCTGTCAGGGGCTTATAGATAAAACTCCCATCTCCCTGGGACAGAGAACTTGGGGGAAGGGGTGGCTGTGGGCTCTGCTTCAGTGGACTTAAATGTTCCTGCCTGCCAGCTCTGAATAGAGCAGAGGTTGCCGACAAGGTTCTCCCAGCACAGCACTCGAACTCTGATAAGGGACAGACTGCCTCCTCAAGTGGGTTCCTGACCCAGTGTCTATTGACTAGGAAAGAATTCCCAACAGGGGTTGACAGATGCCTCATACAGGAGAGCTCTGGCAGGCATCAGTCCAGTGCCCCTTCTAGGATAAAACTTCCAGAGGAAGGAGCAGACAGCAATATTTGCTGTTCTGCAGCCACCGCTGGTAATATCAGGCAAATAGGGTCTGAAACCAATGAGCACAAAGAGAAAAAGCACCAGAATTGCTGGGACACAGCTAAAGCAGTGTTTAGAGGGAAATTTATAGCACTAAATGCCCATATCAGAAAGCAGGAAAGATCTAAAGTTGACACCCTAATATCACAATTAAAAGAACTAGAGAAGCAAGAGTAAACAAATTCAAAAGCTAGCAGGAGACAAAAAAATAACTAAGATCAGAGCAGAACTGAAGGAGATAGAGACACAAAACATCCTTCAAACAAATCAATGAATCCAGGAGCTGGTTTTTTGAAAAAATCAACAAAATAGATAGACTGCTAACCAGACTAATAAAGAAGAAAACAGAGAAGAATCAAATAGACACAATAAAAAATGATAAAGGGGATATCATTACTAATCTCACAGAAATACAAACTACCATCAAAGAATGCCATAAAAACCTCTCTGCAAATAAACTAAAAAATCTAGAAGAAATGGATAAATTCCTGAACATATACACCCTCCCAAGACTAAACCAGGAAAAAGTCGAATCCCTGAAGACACCAATGACAAGTTCTGAAATTGAGGCAGTAATTAATAGCCTGCCAACCAAAAAAGCCCAGGAACAGGCCAATTCACAGCCAAATTCTACCAGAGGTACAAAGAGGAGCTGGTACCATTCCTTCTGAAACTATTCCAAACAATAGAAAAAGAGGAGTATCTGTGTGAAAATCCTCAATAAAATACTGCCAAACTGAATCCAGCACCACATCAAAAAGCTTATTCACCACAACCAATGCCACTCCATCCCTGGGATGCAAGGCTGGTTCAACATAGGCAAAACAATAAAGGTAATCCATCAGGACCAATGACAAAAAAAAAAAAAACCACGTTTATCTCACTAGATGCAGAAAAGACCTTTGATAAAATTCAACATCTCTTCATGCTAGAAACTCTCAATAAACTACGTATTGATAGAACATATCTCAAAACACCAAGAGCTATTTATGAAAAACCCATAGCCAATATCGTACTGAATGGACAAAAGCTGGAAGCATTCCCTATGAAAAACCAGCACAAGACAAAAATCCCCTCTCTCACCACTCCTATTCAACATAGTATTGGAAGTTCCGGCCAGGGCAATCGGGCAAGAGAAAAAATAAAGGGTATTCAGATAGGAAGAGAGGAAGTAAAATCGTGTCTGCTTGCAGATGACATAATTGTATATTTAGAAAACCCCATCATCTCAGCCCAAAGACTCCTACAGCTGACAAACAACCTCAGCAAAGTCTCAGGATACAAAATCAATGTGCAAAAATCACAAGCATTCCTATACACCAACAATAGACAAGCAGAGAGCCAAATCATGAGTGAACTCCCATTCACAATTGCCACAAAGATAATAAACTACTTAGGAATAAAACTTACAAGGGTTGTGAAGGACCTCTTCAAGGTGAACTACAAGTCACTGCTCGAGGAAATAAGAGAGGACACAAACCAATAGAAGAACATTCCAAGCTCATGGATAGGAAGAATCAATTTTGTGAAAATGGCCATATTGCCCAAAGTAATTTATAGGTTCAATCTTATTCCCATCAATGTATTATTGACTTTCTTCACATAATTTTTTTTAAAAACTACTTTAAATGTAATATGGAACCAAAAGAAGAGTCCACATAGCCAAGACAATCCTAAGCAAAAAGAACAAAGCTGGAGGCATCACACTATCTAACTTCAAACTATACTACAAGTCCACAGTAACCAAAACAGCATGGCACTGGTACCAAAACAGATATATAGACCAATGGAACAGAACAGAGGCCTCAGAAAAAACACTACACATCTACAACCATCTCACCTTTGACAAACCTGAAAAAAGCATGAAGAAAAGATTCCCTATTTAATAAATGGTACTGGAAAAACAGACTAGCCATAAACAGACAACTGAAACTGGGCCCCTTCCTTACACCTTATACAAAAATTAATTCAAGATGGATTAAAGACTTAAATGTAAATCCTAAAACTATAAAACCCTAGAAGAAAACCTAGGCAATAACATTCAGGACATAGGAATGGGCAAAGACTTCATGACTAAAACACCAAAAGCAATGGCAACAAAAGCCAAAATTGACAAATGGGATCTAATTAAACTAAAGAGCTTCTGGAGAGCAAAAGTGAACATCAGAGTGAACATGCAACCTACAGAATGGGTGAAAAATTTTGCAATCTATCCAATTGTCAAAGATCTAATATCCAGAATCTACAAGGAACTTAAACAAATTTACCAGAAAAATCAAACAACCCTATTAAAAAGTGGGCAAAGGATATGGACAGACACTTTTCAAAAAAAGACATTTATGTGGCCAGCAAACATATGAAAAAAAGCTCATCATCACTGATCATTAGAGAAATGCAAATCAACACCACAATGAGATACCATCTCATGCCAGTTAGAACGGTGATCATTAACAAATCAGGAAACAACAGATGCTGGAGAGGATGTGGAGAAATAGGAACGTTTTTACAATGTTGGTGGAAGTGTAAATTAGTTCAACCATTGTGGAAGACAGTGTGGAGATTCCTCAAGGATCTAGAACCAGAAATACAATTTGACCCAGCAATACCATCACTGCATATGTACCCAAAGGATTATAAATCATTCTACTATAAAGACTCATGCACACATATGCTTATTGCAACACTATTTACAACAGCAAAGACTTGGAACCAACCCAAATGTCCATCAGTGATAAACTGGATAAAGAAAATGTGGCACATATACACCATGGAATACTACGCAGCCATAAAAAAAGAATTAGTTCAAGGCTTTGCAGGGACTTGGATGAAGCTGTTAACTATCATCCTCAGCAAACTAACACCGGAACAGACAACCAAACACTGCAAGTTCTCACTCATAAGTGGGAGATTAAGATAGAGAACACATGGACACAGGGAGGGAAACATCACACACTGGGGCCTGTTGAGGGGTGGGGGAAAAGAGGAGGGAGAGCATTAGGACAAATACCTAATGCGTGCAGGGTTTAAATCCTAGATAACAGGTTGATAGTTGCAGCAAACCACCATGACACATGTATTCTTCTGTAACAAACCTGCACATTCAGCACATGTATCCCAGAACTTAAAGTAAAACTAAAAAGAATAGAAATTATAGAGGAAGCAAAACAAATGGAAAGACATCTCATGATCATGGATTAGAATTAATATTGTTTAAATTCCCATACTATCCAGGGCAATCTCTAGATTCATTACAACCCCTATCAAAATACCAATGGCATTCTTCACAGAAATAGAAAAAACAATTTAAATCTGTATGGAACCAAGAAAGATCCCAAATAGCCAAACCAATTCTGAGCAACAAAGAACAAAGTGGAATAGGAACAGCTCCAGTCTAGAGCTCCCAACGTGAGTGATGCAGAAGACGGGTGATTTCTGCATTTCCAACTGAGGAACTGGGTTCATCTCACTGGGCAGTGCTGGAGAGTGGGTGTGGGACAGTTGGTGCAGTGCACTGTGCATGAGCCGAAGCAGGGTGAGGCATTGCCTCACTCGGGAAGGACAAGGGGCCAGGGAATTCCCTTTCCTAGTCAAAGAAAGGCGTGACAGACAGCACCTGGAAAATTGGGTCACTCCTACCTTAATACTGCACTTTTCCAATGGGCTTATCAAACAGCACACCAGGAGATTATATCCCACACCTGGCTTGGAGGGTCCCATGTCCATGTAGCCTCACTCATTGCTAGCACAGCAGTCTGAGATCCAACTGCATGACAGCAGCGAGGCTGGGGGAGGGGCGCCCGCCATTGCTCAGGCTTGAGTAGGTAAACAAAGCAGCCGGGAAGCTCGAACTGGGTGGAGCCCACCACAGCTCAAGAAGGCCTGCCTGCCTCTGTAGGCTCCACCTCTGGGGGCAGGGCACAGACAAACAAAAGACAGCAATAACCTCTGCAGACTTAAATGTCCCTGTCTGACAGCATTGAAGAAAGTAGTGGTTCTCCCAGCACACAGCTTGAGATCTGAGAATTGGCAAACTGTCTCCTCAAGTGGGTCCATGACCCCCAAGTAGCCTAACTGGGAGGCACACCCCAGTAGGGGTGGGCTCACACCTCACACGGCCTGGTACGCCTCTGAGACAAAACTTCCAGAGGAAGAATCAGGCAGCAGCATTTGTGGTTCACCAATATCCGTTGTTCTGCAGCCACCGCTGCTGATTCCCAGGCAAACAGGGCCTGAAGTGGACCTCCAGCAAACTCCAACAGACCTGCAGCTGAGGGTCCTGACTGTTAGAACGAAAACTAACAAACAGAAAGGACATCCAAAACAAACACCAATTTGTACATCACCATAATCAAAGACCAAAGGTAGATAAAACAATAAAGATGGGGAAAAAACAGAGCAGAAAAACCAGAAACTCTAAAAATCAGAGTGCCTCTTCTCCTCCAAAGGAACGCAGCTCCTCACCAGCAATGGAACAAAGCTGGATGGAGAATGACTTTGATGAGTTGAGAGAGGAAGGCTTCAGAAGATCAAACTGCTCTGAGCTAAAGGAGGAAGTTCGAACCAATGGCAAAGAAGTTAAAAATTTTGAAAAAAATTTAGATGAATGGATAACTAGAATAACCAATGCAGAGAAGTCCTTAAAGGACCTGATGGAACTGAAAACCATGGCATGAGAACTACGTGACAAATACACAAGCCTCAGTAACCAATTCGATCAACTGGAAGAAAGGGTATCAACGATGGAAGACGAAATAAATGAAATAAAGCATGAAGAGAAGTTTAGAGAAAAAAGAATAAAAAGAAATGAACAAAGCCTCCAAGAAATATGGGACTATGTGAAAAGACCAAATCTACGTCTGATTGGTGTACCTAAAAGTGATGGGGATAATGGAACCAAGTTGGAAAACACTCTGCAGGATATTATCCAGGGGAACTTCCCCAATCTAGCAAGGCAGGCCAACATTCAAATTCAGGAAATACAGAGAATGCCACAAAGATACTCCTTGAGAAGAGCAACACCAAGACACATACTGTCAGATTCACCAAAGTTGAAATGAAGGAAAAAATGTTAAGGACAGCCAGAGAGAAAGGTCAGGTTACCCACAAAGGGAAGCCCATCAAACTAACACCTGATCTCTCAGCAGAAACTCTACAGGCCAGAAGAGAGTGGGGGTCAATATTCAACATTCTTAAAGAAAAGAATTTTCAATCCAGAATTTCATATCCAGCCAAACTAAGCTTCATAAGTGAAGGAGAAATAAAATACTTTACAGACAAACAAATGCTGAGAGATTTTGTCACCACCAGGCCTGCCCTAAAAGAGCTCCTGAAGGAAGCACTAAACATGGAAAGGAAAAACCGGTACCAGCCACTGCAGAAACAAGCCAAATGGTAAAGACCATCAATGATAGGAAGAAACAGCATCAACCAACGAGCAAAATAACCAGCTAACATCATAATGACAGGATCAAATTCACACATAACAATACTAACCTTAAATGTAAATGGGCTAAATGCTCCAATTAAAAGGCATAGACTGGCAAATTGGATAAAGAGTCAAGACCCATCAGTGTGCTGTATTCAGGAAACCCATTTCATGTGCAGAGACACACATAGGCTCAAAATAAAGGGATGGAGGAAGATCTACCAAGCAAATGGAAAACAAAAAAGGCAGGGGTTGCAATTCTAGTCTCGGATAAAACAGACTTTAAAACAACAACGATCAAAAGAGACAAAGAAGGCCATTACAAAATGGTAAAGGGATCAATTCAACAAGAAGAACTAACTATCCTAAATATATATGCACCCAACACAGGAGCACACAGATTCATAAAGCAAGTCCTTAGTGACCTACAAAGAGACTTAGACTCCCACACAAAAATAATGGGAGATTTTAACACCCCACTGTCAACATTAGACAGATCAACGAGACAGAAAGATAACAAGGATATCCAGGATTTGAACTCAGTGCTACACCAAGTGGACCTAATAGACATCTACAGAATTCTCCACCCCAAATCAACAGAATATACATTCTTTTCAGCACCACACAACACCTATGCCAAAACTGACCACATAGTTGGAAGTAAAGCACTCCTCAGCAAATGTAAAAGAACAGAAATTATAACAAACTGTCTCTCAGACCACAGTGCAATTAAACTAGAACTCAGGATTAAGAAACTCATTCAAAACCACTCAACTACATGGAAAGTGAACAACCTGATCCTGAAGGACTACTGGGTACACAATGAAATGAAGGCAGAAATAAAGACGTTCTTTGAAACCAACAAGAACAAAGACACAACATACCAGAATCTCTGGGACACATTCAAAGCAGTGTGTAGAGGGAAATTTATAGCACTAAATGCCCACAAGAGAAAGCAGGAAAGATCTAAAATTGACACCCTAGCATCACGATTAAAAGAACTAGAGAAACAAAAGCAAACACATTCAAAAGCTAGCAGAAGACGTGAAATAACTAAGATCAGAACAGAACTGAAGGAAATAGAGACACAAAAAACCTTTCAAAAAATCAATGAATCCAGGAGCTGGTTTTTTGAAAAGATCAACAAAATTGATAGACTGCTACCAAGACTAATAAAGAAGAAAAGAGAGAAGAATCAAATAGGTGCAATAAAAAATGACAAAGGGGATATCACCACCGATCCCACAGAAATACAAACTACCATCAGAGAATACTATAAACACTTCTATGCAAATAAACTGGAAAATCTAGAAGAAATGGATAAATTCCTTGACACATACATCGTCCCAAGACTAAACGAAGAAGAAATTGAATCTCTGAATAGACCAATAACAGGCTCTGAAGTTGAGGCAATAATTAATAGCTTACCAACAGAAAAAAGTCCAGGACCAGATGGATTCAGAGCCGAATTCTACCAGAGGTACAAGGAGGAGCTGGTGCCATTCCTTCTGAAACTATTCCAATCAATAGAAAAAGAGGGAATCCTCCCTCACTCATTTTATGAGGCCAGCATCCTCCTGATACCAAAGCCAGGCAGAGACACAACCAAAAAAGAGAATTTTAGACCAATATCCCTGATGAACATTGAAGCAAAATTCTCAATAAAATACTGTCAAACCGAATCCAGCAACACATCAAAAAGTTTATCCACCATGATCAAGTGGGCTTCATCCCTGGGATGCAAGGCTGGTTCAACACACACAAATCAGTAAATGTAATCCAGCATATAAACAAAACCAAAGACAAAAACCACATGATTATCTCAATAGATGCAGAAAAGGCCTTTGACAAAATTCAACAACCTTTCATGCTAAAAACTCTCAGTAAATTAGGTATTGATGGGATGTACCTCAAAATAAGAAGAGCTATCTATGACAAACCCACAGCCAATATCATACTGAATGGACAGAAACTGGAAGCATTCCCTTTGAAAACTGGCAGAAGACAGGGATGCCCTCTCTCACCACTCCTATTCAACATAGTGTTGGAAGTTCTGGCCAGGGCAATGAGGCAGGAGAAGGAAATAAAGGGCATTCAATTATGAAATGGGGAAGTCAAATTGTCCCCGTTTGCAGATGACATGATTCTATATCCAGAAAACCCCATCGTCTCAGCCCAAAATCTCCTTAAGCTGATAAGCAACTTCAGCAAATTCTCAGGATACAAAATCTATGTGCAAAAATCACAAGCATTCTTATACACCAATAACAGATAAACAGAGAGCCAAATCATGAGTGAACTCTCATTCGCAATTGCTTCAAAGAGGATAAAATACCTATGAATCCAACTTACAAGGGATGTGAAGGACCTCTTCAAGGAGAACTACAAACCACTGCTCGATGAAATAAAAGAGGATACAAACAAATGGAAGAATATTCCATGCTCATGGGTAGGAAGAATCAATATCATGAAAATGGCCATACTGCCCAAGGTAATTTACAGATTCAATGCCATCCCTATCAAGCTACCAATGACTTTCTTCACAGAATTGGAAAAAACTACTTTAAAGTTCATATGGAACCAAAAAAGAGCCTGCATTGCCAAGTCAATCCTAAGCCAAAAGAACAAAGCTGGAGGCATCACTCTACCTGATTTCAAACTAGACTACAAGGCTACAGTAACCAAAACAGCATGGTACTGGTACCAAAACAGATATATAGACCAATGAAACAGAACAGAGCCCTCAGAAATAATGCCACATATCTACAACTATCTGATCTTTGACAAACCTGACAAAAACTAGAAATGGGGAAATGATTCCCTGTTTAATAAATGGTGCTGGGAAAACTGGCTAGCCATATGGAGAAAGCTGAAGCCGGATCCCTTCCTTACACCTTATACAAAAATTAATTCAAGATGGATTAAAGACTTACATGTTAGACCTAAAACCATAAAACCCCTAGAAGAAAACCTAGGCAATACCATTCAAGACATAGGCATGGGCAAGGACTTCATGTCTAAAACACCAAAAGCAATGGCAACAAAAGCCAAAATTGACAAATGGGATCTAATTCAACTAAAGAGCTTCTGCACAGCAAAAGAAACCACCATCAGAGTGAACAGGCAACCTACAGAATGGGAGAAAATTTTTGCAACCTACTCATCTGACAAAGGGCTAATATCCACAATCTACAATGAACTCAAACAAATTTACAAGAAAAAAAAACAAACAACCCCATCAAAAAGTAGGCAAACGATATGAACAGACACTTCTCAAAAGAAGACGTTTATGCAGCCAAGAGACACATGAAAAAATGCTCATCATCACTGGCCATCAGACAAATGAAAATCAAAACCGCAATGAGATACCATTTCACACCAGTTAGAATGGCGATCATTAAAAAGTCAGGAAACAACAGGTGCTGGAGAGGATGTGGAGAAACAGGAACACTTTTACACTGTTGGAACTGTAAACTAGTTCAACCATTGTGGAAGTCAGTGTGGCGATTCCTCAGGGATCTAGAACTAGAAATACCATTTGACCCAGCCATCCCATTACTGGGTATATACCCAAAGGATTATAAATTATGCTGCTATAAAGACACATGCACACGTATGTTTATTACAGCACTATTCACAATAGCAAAGACTTGGAACCAAGCCAAATGTCCAACTCTGATAGACTGGATTAAGAAAATGTGGCACATATACACCATAGAATACTATGCAGACATAAAAAATCATGAGCTCATGTCCTTTGTAGGGACATGGATGAAGCTGGAAACCATCATTCTCAGCAAACTATCGCAAGGACAAAAAACCAAACACTGCATGTTCTCACTCATAGGTGGGAATTGAACAATGAGAACACATGGACACAGGAAGAGGAACATCACACACCGGGGCCTGCTGTGAGGTGGGAGAAGGGGGGGGAGGGATAGCATTAGGTGATATACCTAATGCTAAATGATGAGTTAATGGGTGCAGCACACCCACATTTCACATGTATACATATATAACAAACCTGCACGTTGTGCACATGTACCCTAAAACTTAAAGTATAATAATAATTTAAAAAAAGAACAAAGCTGGAGGCATCACACTACTGGACTTAAAAATATACTAAAAAACACTAGTAATTAAAACAGCTTAATGCTGGTACAAAGACAGATGCACAGACTCATGTACCAAAATACGGAACACAGAAATAATGCCATATGTTTACAGCCAACTGATTTTCCAAGAAGGTGCTGAGAGCATACATTGGGCAAAGGACATTTTCTTCAATAAGTGGTGCTGAGAAAACTGTACATCCATATGCAAAATAATGAAACAAGACCACCATCTCTCGCCATTTACAAAAGTCAACCCAACATAAAGGCTTAAACATAAGGCCAGAAACTAGAAAACTACTTTAAGAAGAAAATAAAAGAGAAATGCTTCAGGTAATTGGTCTAGGCAAAGATCTTATGCTAAGACTACAAAAGCACAGGGAACAAAAACAAAAATAGACAAACGGGACTATATTAAACTGAAAATCTTCTACACAGCAAAGAAAGCAATGAAATCAGTAGAGACAATCCCTTCTGAATGGGAGAAAAGAGCTGTAAACTATTCCTCTAAGAGGGGACTAATATCCAAAATACACAAGGAACTCAAATGACTCAACAACAAATAAAAAAATTAATCCCATTAAAAAGTGGGCAAAGGATCTGAATACAGATTTGTCAAAAAGAAGATACATAAATGGCCAAAAAGCATGTGAAAAATGCTCAACATCACTAATCATCAGGGAAATGCAAATCAAAACCATATTGAGATATCATCTCACCCCAGTTAAAATAACTATTATCAAAAAGACAAAAAGTATCAAATCCTAACAGGAATGCAGAAAAAGATCAACAGTTGTTCATTGTTCATGGGAACAGACAGTCGTACAGCCATTATGGAAAACAGCATGGAGGTTTCTCAAAAAAAACTAAAAATAGAACTAACATAAAACCCAGCAATTCCACTACTGGACATTTATCCAAAGGAAGGCAAATCAGTATAACAAGGGATACCTGCACCCCTGTGTTTAATGTAGCACTGTATATTCAGCCATTAAAAAGAATAAAATCATATTGGTCACAGCAACATAGACAGAACTGGAGGTCATTATGTTAAGGGAAATAATTCAGGGAAAGAAAGACTAACATCACGTAGAGATACAGAGTAGAATGATGGTTCCCAGAAACACGGAAGGGTGTGGGGGGTAATAAAGAGAGGTTTCTTAATGGGTGAAAACATGCAGTTAGGTAGAAGAAATAAGTTCTAGTGTTTGATAGGATAGTGGCATGACTATAGTTAACAATAATTTCTCTTTTTTTCAACTTTTATTTTAAGTTCAGGGGTACATGTGCAGGATATGCAGGTTTGTTATATAAACGTGTGCCAAGGTGGTTTACTGCACAGGTCATCCCATCACCCAGGTATTAAGCCCAGCATCCATTAGCTTTTCTTCCTGATGCACTCCCCTCCAACCCCCCGAGGAGTCCCCAGTGTGTGTTGTCCCCCCCACATGTGTCCATGTGTTCTCATTGATCAGCTCCCACTTACAAGTAAGAACATGCAGTGTTTGGTTTTCTGTTCCTGCGTTACTTTGCTGAGAATAATGGCTTCCATCTCCATCCATCTCCCTGCAAAGGACAAGATCTCATTCCTTTTTATGGCTGCATAGTGTGTATATGTACCATCTCGTATATGTACCACATTTTCTTTATCCAGTCTATCATTGATGGGCATGTAGGTTGATTCCATGACTTTTCTATTGTAAATAGTGCTGCAGTGAACATATGCGTGCATGTATCTTTATAATAGCATGATTTATATTTTGGCTATATACCCAGTAATGGGATTGCTGGGTCAAATGGTATTTCTGCCTCTAGGTCTTTGAGGAATCACCACACTGTCTTCCACAATGGTTGAACACCAACAAAGTAAAAGTGTTCCTTTTCCTCCACAACCTTGCCAGTGTCTGTGGTTTTTTGACTTTTTAGTAATAGCCATTCTTCTTGGCATCAGATCGTATCTCACTGTGGCTTTGATTTGCATTTGTCTAATGATCCGTCATGTGGAGCTTTTTTTCTTTTCGTGTTTGTTGGCCACATGTGTGTCTTCTTTTGAGAAGTGTCTGTTCATGTTCTTTACCCACTTTTTAATAGGCTTGTTGTTGTTTGTTTTTTTTTTCTTGTAGATTTGTTTAAGCTCCTTCTAGATTCTGGACATTAGACCTTTGTCAGATGGATAGATTGCAAAAAATTTCTCCTATGTTGTAAGTTGTCTGTTCACTCTGATGATCATTTCTTCTGTTGCACAGAATCACTTTAACTAGATCCCATTTGTCAATTTTGGCTTTTGTATCAATTGCTTTGGCTTTTTTGTCATGAAATCTTTGCCCATGCCTACATCACAAATGATATTGCCTAGATTTTCTTCTAGGGTTATTATAGTTTGGGGTTTTATATTTCAGTCTTTAATCCTTCTTGAGTTAAATTTTGTATATGATGTAAGGAAGGGTTCCAGTTTCAATTTTCTGTATATGATGTAAGGAAGGGTTCCAGTTTCAGTTTTCTGTATATGATGTAAGGAAGGGTTCCAGTTTTCAGTTTTCAGCTAGCCAGTGGCTAGCTGGTTCTCCCAGCACCATTTTAAATAGGAAATACTTTCCCCATTGCTCCTTTTGGTCAGGTTTGTCAAAGATCAGATGGTTGTAGGTGTGCAGTCTTATTTCTGGGTTCTCATTCTGTTCCATTGGTCTATGTGTCTGTTTTTGTACCAGTACCACTCTGTTTTGGTTACTGTAGCTTTGTAGTATAGTTTGAAGTCAGGTAGTGTGATGTCTCCGTTTGTTCTTTTAGCTTAGGGTTCACTTGGCTATTTGGGATCTTTTTTAGTTCCATATAACTTTTAAAATAGTTTTTCCAATTCTGTGAAGAATGCCAATGGTATTTTAATGGGAATAGCATTGAATCAATAAATTACTTTGGGAAGCATGGTCATTTTTATGATATTGATACTTCCCATCCATGAGCATGAAATGTTTCTCCATCTGTTTGTATCCTCTCTGATTTCTCTGAGCAGTCAGTGGTTTGTAGTTCTCCTTGAGGTCCTTCAATTCCTAGGTATTTTATTCTTTTTGTAGCAATTGTGAATGGAAATTCATTCATGATTTGGCTCTCTGCTTGCCTGTTGTTGGTGTATAGAATTGCTAGTGATTTTTGCACATTGATTTTATTTATCTATTTATTTATTTAATTTATTGAGACGGTGTCTCACTCTGATGCCCTGGCTGGAGTGCAGTAGCATAATCTTGACTTGCTCCAGTCTCCACCTCCTGGGTTCAAGCAATTCTCCTGCATTAGCCTCCTGAGTAGCTGGGATTACAGTTGCACACCACCACACCTGGCTAATTTTTGTATTTTTAGTAGAGATGGGGTTTCACCATGTTTGACAGGCTAGTCTTGAACTCCTCAGCCTCCCAAAGTGCTGAGATTACAGGTGTGAGCCACCGTGCAGGTTGATTTTATATCCTGAGAATTTGCTGAAGTTGTTTATCAGCTTAAGAAGGTTTTGGGCTAAGATGATGGGGTTTCCTAGATATAGAATCATGTTATCTTCAAACAAAGATAATTTGACATCCTCTCTTCCTATTTGAACACACTTTATTTCTTCCTCTTGCCTGATTTCCCTACCAGTATCTTGAAATAAACTCTGTTGGATAGGAGTGGTGAAAGAGGGCATCCTTGTCTTGTGCCAGTTTTCAAGGGGAATGCTTCCAGCTTTTGCCCATTCAGTATGATATTGGCTATGGGTTTGTCATATATGGCTCTTATTACTTTCAGGTATGTTCCTTCAATATCTAGCTTATTAAGAGTTTTAAACATTAAGGGATGTTAAATTTTATCAAAGACCTTTTCTGCATCTATTGAGATAATCATGTGGTATTTGTGTTTAGCTCTGCTTATGTGATGAATCACGTTTATTGATTTGCATATATTGAACCAACCTTGCATCCTGGGGATGAAGCCTACTTGATCGTGGTGGGTAAGCTTTTTGATGTGCAGCTGGATCTAGTTTTCCAGTATTTTTTTGAAGATTTTTGCATCAATGTTGATCAATGATATTGGTGTGAAGCTTTCTTTTTTTGTTTTATTTCTGTCAGGTTTTGGTATCAGGATAATGCTGGCCTCATAGAATGAGTTAGGGACAAGTCCTTCCTCTTCAGTTTTTTGGAGTAGTTTCAATAGAAATAGTACCAGCTCCTCTTTGTACCGCTGGTAGAATTTGGTTGTGAATCTGTCTGTTTCTGGGCTTTTCTTTTTTGTTAGGCTATTCGTTACTGCCTCAATTTCAGAACACATTATCAGTCTATTCAGGGATTCAATTTCTTCCTAGTTCAGTCTTGGAGGGTGTGTTTGTCCAGGAAATTGTCCATTTATTCTAGATTTTCTAGTTTATGTGCATAAAGGTGTTTATAGTATTCTCTGTTGGTTTTTTGTATTTCTGGGGGTCAGTGGTGATATCCACCTTATCATTTCTGATTGTGTTTATTTGATTCTTCTCTTTTTTCTTATTAGCCTAGCTAGTGGTCCATCTATTTTATTAATTTTTTTCAAGAAACCAGAGCCTGGATTTGTTCCTTTTTCAAGAGATTTTTCGTGTCTCTATCTCCCTCAGCTCAGTTCAGATCTTGTTATTTCCTGTCTTCTGCTAACTTTGAGGTTTGTTTGCTCTTGGTGCTCTAATTCTTTTAGTTGAGATGTTAAGTTGTTAATCTGAGAGCTTCCTAGCTTTTTGATGTGGGCATTTATTGCTATAAATTTCCCTCTTAACACTGCTTTAGCTGCATCCCAGAGGCTCTGATATGTTGTCTCTCTGTTCTTATTTATTTCAAAGAACTTCTTCATTTTTGCCTTAATTGTATTATCTACCCAAAAGTTCTTCAGGAAAAGGTTGTTCAATTTCCATGTAGTTGTGTGGGTTTGTGTGGATTTCTTAATGTGAAATTCTTAAATTCTAATTTGATTGTACTGTGGTCTGAAAGACTGTTATGATTTCAGTTCTTTTGCATTTGCTGAGGAAAGTTTTACTTCCTATAATGTGATCAACTTTAGAGTAAGTGCTGTGTAATGATGAGAATATATATTATGTTGCTTTGGGGTGAAAAGTTCTGTAGATATCAATCAGGTCCACTTGGTCCAGAGCTGAGTTCAGTTCCTGAATATCTTTGTTAATTTTCTGCCTCAGTGATCTGTCTGATACTGTCAGAGGGCTGTGAAAGTCTCCCACTGTTATTTTATGGCAGTCTAATTCTCTTTGTAGGTCTCTAAGAACTTGCATTATGAATCTGGGTGCTCCTATATTGGGTGCATATATATTTAGGATAGTTAACTCTTGTTGATGAATTGAACACTTTACCATTATGTAATGCCCGCCTTTGTCTTTTTTGATCTTTGTTGGCTTAAAGTCTGTTTTATCAGATATTAGGATTGCTACCCTTGTTTTTTCTGTTTTCCATTTGTTTGGCAAATTTTCCCCCACACCTTTATTTTGAGGTTCTGTGTGCCTTTGCATGTGAGATGGGTCTCTTGAAGACACCATATTCACGGGGCTTGATTCTGTGTCCAGCTTGCCATTCTATGTCTTTTAATTGAGGCATTTAGACAATTTACATTTAAGGTTAGTACTGTTGTGTGTGAATTGGATCCTGTCAGTTATGCAAGCTACTTATTTTGCAGACTTGTTTGTGTGGTTGCTTCATAGTGTCACCAGACTGTGTACATCAGTGCATTTTGTAGTGCCTGTAATGGTTTTTTCTTTCCATATTTAGTGCTTCCTTCAGGAGCTCTTACAAGGCAGGCCTGCTAATGACAAATTCCCTCAGCATTTGCTTGTCTGAAAAGGATCTTATTTCTCCTTCGCTTGTGAAGCTTAGTTTGGTCAGATAAGAAATTCTGGGCTGGAAATTCTTTAAGAATGCTGAATATTGGTCCCAATCTCTTCTGGCTTGTAGGGTTTCTGCTGAGAGGTCTGCTGTTAGTCTAGTTGGTTTCCCTTTGTAGGTAACCTAGCCTTTCTCTCTAGCTGCCCTTAATATTTTTTTGTTCACTTTGACCTTGAAGAATCTGCTGATTATGTGTCTTGGGGTTGATCTTCTCACGGAATAACTTACTGGGGTTCTCTGCATTTCCTGAATTTGAATCTTGGCCTGTCTTGCTAGGTTGCAAAAGTTCTCCAGGATGATATCCTGAAGTATGTTTTCCAACGTGGTTCCATTCTTCTCATCTGTTTTAAGTACCCCAATCAGTCGTAGGTTCAGTCTCTTTACGCAATCCCATAATTCTCGGAGATTTTGTTCATTCCTTTTTATTGTTTTTTTCTCTATTCTTATCTACCTGTCTTACCTCAGAAAGATAGTCTTCCAGCTCTGAAATTCTTTTATCCACTTCATCTGTTCTGCTAGTGATATTTGTGATGGCATTGTGAAGTTCCTATGTTGTGTTTTTCAGCTCCATCACGTTGGTGATATTCCTCTCTAAACTAGCTACTCTGGCCATCAGTTCCTATATTGTTTTATCATTATTCTTAGCTTCTTTGCATTGAATTAAAACATGCTCCTTTAGCTCAGTTAAGTTCGATATTATCCACCTTCTGAAGCTTATTTCTGTCAATTCATCCATCTCGGCCTCAGCACAGTACTCTGCTCTTGCTGGAGAGGTGTTGCAGTCATTTGAAGGAGAAGAGGTACTCTGGCTTTTTAAGTTTTCAGCCTTTTTGCATTGATTCTTTCTCATCTTTGTGGGCTTATCTACTTTCAATCTTTGAGGCTGTTGGCCTTTGAGTGAGGTTTTTGTGGGGTTCCTTAGTTGATGATGTTGTTTTCTGTTTGTTTGTTTGTTTGTTTGTTTTGCTTTTACCAGTCAGTCCACAATACCATAGGGCTGCTGCAGTTTGCTGGGGATCTGCTCAAGACTCCAGTGTCCTTGGCCTCTCCTGCACCTGCAGGAGGCAGCTGGGGTGCCCCACTGAAAGATCTCACCCAGTCAGGAGGGACAGGAACAGGAACCCACCCAATGAAGAAGTCTGGTTGTTCTTGATAGAGCAGAAATGTTGCATTGGTGGGGGTGGGGAACCCTTCTTCATTTGGACCACCTGTATTCTCCACAGCCAGCAGGGTGGAATGGCTGAGTTTAGGGAACTCAGAGATTGCAGTCACCCCTCACCCCAGGAGCTCCCTCCCAGGGAGAGATCAATCTCTATCCACAGAACTGAAGATGCCTCCCCCAGTGAGTAGAAGTGGGTTCCCAGTTAAAGAATCAGTCTGGCCATGATCTGGCAAGGCAGATGCACTGCACAGTGGGGGGCCCATCCTCATCTGAACCATCTACACTCTCCACAGCCAGCAGACTGGAATGGCTGAGTCCTCAGTAGCACAGAGATGGCAGCTGTCCCTTCCCTTTCCACCAAGCTCCCTCCCAGGGAGAGGTCAGATCTCTCCACCAAACCAAAGACCCACCTAGTGAGGAAGGGGGGATTGGGGATTTAGTTAAAGAAGCAGTCTGGCTACGATCTGGCAAGGCCACTCCATTGTGCCATGGGGGGACCCTCCTCGTTTGGGCTGTCTGCATTCTCCACAGCCAGTAGGCTGGGATGGCTGAGACTATGGAAGGGCAGATATGGAGACTGCCTCTCCCCCTGAAAGCTGCCTGCCAGTGAGAGATCAGAGCTCTGTCTGCAGAACCTAGGACCTGCCCAGTGAGGAGGAGTGTGTCAGGGCCCCAGTTAAAGAAGCAGTCTGGCCCAATTCTGGCAAGGCCACTGTGCTGCACTGTGGAGGGGAGGGGGGCTTCTTGTCTGGACCATCTGTACTCTCCACAGCCAGCAAGCTGGAATGGCTGTTTCCCCTGAACTGCAGAGATGACAGCTGCCCCTCCCCTGGGAAATTATGTCTTGTCTCTGGCAAACTTCAGCTCTCCCATTGGCTGGCTGAGATTCCATGCCAGTGGGTCTTAACCTGTGAGGTGCCATGAAATTGGCACCCACAGAATGAGGCTGCTTTGCTCCCTGTATTCAGCCCCCTTCCTAGGGACATATATGGATGGATTTTTTCACCTTGGTGGGGATTTGGCACTGGAGCATCCAAAACTCCTGCATCTCTATGTGCACCTGAGCAGCTGTTTTGCCAAGACTCCTCACAGCTCCGTATATCAAAGCCAAGGCCCTGGTGGTGTGGGCTTATGAGGGGATCTCCTGCTCCACAGGTTGCAATGATTGGTGGGAGAAGCATGGCTTCCCAGCAGGTCACATAATCACTCACTGCCTCCCCTGGCTGCAGATGTGGGTTCCTTTGGCTCCATGTGGCTCCCTGGTGGGCCATCACCCCCAGCTTCTGCATGCCTATACAGTCCCAATGTGATAACCTGGATGTTTCAATTGAAGGTGTTGAATTCACTCTCCCCTTTTCATTCTTCTCTATGAGTGTTGTGCACCACAGCTGATTCTAACCAGCCATCTTGCCTCTCCGAGTTAACAATAATTTCTTGTGTCTTTAAAAATCACTAGAAGAGTTGACATGTTTTCAACATAAAAAGATAAATATTTGAGGTGATAAATATCTTAAATACCCTTATTTGATAATTGCACACAGTTTGCATGTATTAAAATATCATGTTAACCATAAATATTTACAATTATTATGTATCACTTATTAAAATTAAATAAATAAATAGATGGAGCAAGATATACCATGCTAACACTAACCCAAAAAAACTTGAGTAGCTATATTCATTTCAGACAAAGGAGACGTTTAGAGCAAGGAAAATCATCAGGAATAATGTGGAACATTACATAATGATAAAGGGGTCAATTCACTAAGAAGACTTAGCAATCCTTAATGTATATGCACCTAATATACATAAGGCAAAAACTGGTAGAACCACATGAAGAAATAGATGAATCCAATTCTTTTCCAAGAGGGCAGAATAGGAACAGCTCCGGGCTGCAGCTCCAAGCATGATTGATGCAGAAGATGGTGATTTCTGCATTTCCAACTGAGGTACGTGGTTCATCCCACTGGGACTGGTTGGACAGTCAGTGCAGCCCACAGAGGGTGAGCTGAAGCAGGGCAGGACATCACCTCACCAGGGAAAGTGCAAGGGATTGGGGGATATTCCTTTGCTAGCCAAGGGAAGCCATGACAGACAGTACCTGGAAAATTGGGACACTTCCAGCCAAATACTGCACTTTTCCAGTGGTCTTAGCAAACAGCAAACCAAGAGATTATATCCCCTGTCTGGTTTGGTGGGTCCCACACCCATGGAGCCTTGCTCATTGCTAGCACAGAAGTCTAAGATCGACCTGTGAGGCAGCAGCCTGGCAGGGGGAGGGGTGTCCACAATTGCTGAGGGTTGAGTAGGTAAACAAAGTGGCCTGGGAAGCTCAAAGTGGGTGGAACCCATCACAGCTCTGCAAGGCCTGCTGCCTCTGTAGACCATACCATGGGGGCAGGGCATAGCTGAACAAAAGGAAGTAGAAACTTCTGCAGACTAAAACATCCCTGTCTGACAGCTCTGAAGAGAGCAATCACTCTCCCAACACAGTGTTTCAGCTCTGAGAATGGACAGACTACCTCCTCAAGTGGGTCCCTGACCCCACATAGCCTAACTGAGAGACACCTCCCAGTAGGAGCTGACTGACACCTCATACAGGCAGGTGCCCCTCTGGAATGAAGCTTCCAGAGGAAGGATCAGGAAGCAATATTTGCTGTTCTACAATATTTGCTGCTCTGCAGCCTCCGCTGGTGATACCCAGGCAAAAAGGGTCTGGAAGGACCTCCAGCAAACTCCAACAGACATGCAGCTGAGAGTCTTGACTGTTAGAAGAAAAACTGACAAACAGAAAGGAATAGCATCAACATCAACAAAAAGGACATCGACACCAAAACCCCATCTGTTGGTCACCAGCATCAATGAACAAAGGTAGATAAAACCACAAAGAGGGAGAAACCAGAGCAGAAAAGCTAAAAATGCTAAAAACCAGAACACCTCTTCTCCTCCAAAGGATCACAGCTCCTCACCAGCAATGGAACAAAGCTGGATGGAGAATGACTTTGACAAGCTGACAGAAGTAGTCTTCAGAAGATCAGTAATAACAAACTTCTCAGAGCTAAAGGAGAATCTTTGAACCCATCGCAGGGAAGCTAAAAACCTTGAAAAAAGATAAGATGAATGGTTAATTAGAATAAACAGTGTAGAGAAGACCTTAAATGACCTGATGGAGCCAAAAACCATGGCACAAGAACTACGTGACACATGCACAAGCTTCAGTAGCTGATTTGATCAAGTGGAAGAAAGGGTATCAGTGATTGAAGATCAAATTAATGAAAGAAAGCAGGAGGAGAAGTTTAGAGAAAAAAGAGTAAAAAGAAACAAATAAAGCCTCCAAGAAATATGGGACTATGTGAAAAGACCAAATCTACATTTGATTGGTGTACCTGAAAGTGATAGGGAGAATGGAAAAAAGTTGGAAAACTCTCTTCTGGATATTATCCAGGAGAAATTCCCCAACCTAGCAAGACAGGCCAACATTCAAATTCAGGAAATACAGAGAACACCACAAAGATACTCCTCGAGAAGAGCAACCCCAAGACACATAATTGTCAGATTCACCAAGGCTGAAATGAAGGAAAAAATGTTAAGGGCAGCCAGAGAGAAAGGTCGGGATACCAAGAAAGGGAAGCCCATTAGATTAACAGCGGATCTCTCAGCACAAACTCTACAAACAAGAAGAGAGTGGGGGCCAATATTCAACATTCCTAAACAAAATAATTTTCAACACAGAATTTCATATCCAGCCAAACTAAGCTTCATGAGCAAAGGAGAAATAAAATCCTTTACAGACAAGCAAATGTTGAGAGACTTTGTCAACACCAGGCCTGCCTTACAAGAGATCCTGAAGGAAGCACTAAACATGGAAAGGAATGACTGGTACCAGCCACTGCAAAAAGATGCCAAATTGTAAAGACCATCAATGCTAGGAAGAAACTGCGTCAACTAACGGGCAAAAATAACCAGCTGACATCATAATGACAGGAACAAATACACACATAATAATATTAACCTTAAATGTAAATGGGCTAAATGCCCCAATTAAAAGACACAGACTGGCAAATTGGATAAACAGTCAAGACCCATTGATGTGCTGTATTCAGGAGACATATCTCACGTGCAAAGACACATATAGGTACAAAAAAAGGGGATGGAGGAAGATCTACCAAGCAAATGGAAAGAAAGAAAAAGCAGGGGTTGCAATCCTAGTCTCTGATAAAACAGACTTTAAACCAATAAAGATCAAAAAAGACAAAGAAGGACATTGCATAATGGTAAAGGGATCAATTCAACAAGAAGAGCTAACTATCCTAACTATATATGCACCCAATACAGGAGCACCTGGATTCATACAGCAAGTCATTGGAGACCTACAAAGAGACTTAGACTCCTACATATTAATAATGAAAGACTTTAACACCCCACGTCAATATTAGACAGATCAATGAGACAGAAGGTTGACAAGGATATCCAGGACTTGAACTCAGCTCTGCACCAAGCAGACCTAATAGACATCTACAGAACTCTCCATCCCAAAACAATATACATTCTTCTCAGCACCACATCGCACTTATTCCCAAATTGACCACATAGTTGGAAGTAAAGCACTCCTCAGCAAATGTAAAAGAACAGTAATCACAATAAACTGTCTCTCAGACCACAGTGCAATCAAATTAGAACTCAGGATTAAGAAACTCACTCAAAACCACACAGCTACATGGAAAATGAACAACCTCCTCCTGATTGACTACTGGGTAAATAACAAAATGAAGCCAAAAATAAAGATGTTCTTTGAAATCAATGAGAACAAAGATAAAAGGTACAAGAATCTCTGGAAAACATTTAAAGCAGTGTGTAGAGGGAAATTTATAGCACTAAATGCCCACAAGAGAAACCAGGAAAGATCTAAAATCAACACCCTAACATCACAATTAAAACAACTAGAGAAGCAAGAGCAAACACATTCAAAAGCTAGCAGAAGGCAATAAATAAATAAGAGCAGAGCAGAACTGAGGGAGATGGAGACACAAAAAACCCTTCAAAAAATCAATGAATCCAAGAGCTGGTTTTTTGAAAAGATCAACAAAATAGATAGACCACTAGCAAGACTAATAAAGAAGAAAAGACAGAAGAATCAAATAGAAGCAATAAAAATTATAAAGGGGATATCACCACTGATCCCACAGAAATACAAACTACCATCAGAGAATACTATAAACACCTCTATGCAAATAAACTAGAAAATCTAGAAGAAATGGATAAATTCCTCAACACATACACCCTCCCAAGACTAAACCAGGAAGAGGTTGAATCTCTGAATAGAACAATAATAGGCTCTGAAATTGAGGCAATAATTAACATCCTACCAACCAAAACAAGTCCAGGAGCAGACGGATTTGGAGCTGAATTCTACCACAGGTACAAGGAGGAGCTGGTACCATCCCTTCTGAAACTATTCCAATCAATAGAAAAAGAGGGAATCCTCCCTCACTCATTTTATGAGGCCAGTATCATCCTGATAACAAAGGCTGGCAGAGACACACACAAAAAAGAGATTTTAGACCATATCCCTGATGAACACCGATGCAAAAATCCTCAATAAAATACTGGCAAACCGAATACAGCAGCACATTTAAAAGCTTACCCACCATGTTCATGTCGGCTTCAACCCTGGGATGCGAAGCTAGTTTAACATATACAAATCAATAAATGTAATCCATCACATAAATAGAACCAACAACAAAAACCATATGATTATCTCAAAAGATTCAGAAAAGGCCTTCGACAAAATTCAACACCACTTCATGCTAAAAACTCTCAATAAACTAGGTATTGATGGAACATATCTCAAAATAATGTGAGCTATTTATGACAAACCCACAGCCAATATCATACTGAATGGGGAAAAGCTAGAAACACTCCTTTTGAAAACCGGCCCAAGACAGTAATGCCCTCTCTAACCACTCCCATTCAACGTAGTGTTGGAAGTTCTGGCCAGGGCAATCAGGCAAGAGAAAGAAATAAAGGGTATTCAATTAGGAAAAGAGGAAGTCAAATTGTCCCTGTTTGCAGATGATATGATTGTATATTTAGAAAACCCCATCGCCTCAGCCCAAAATCTCCTTAAGCTGATAAGCAACTTCAGCAAAGTTTCAGGATGCAAAATCAATGTGCAAAAATCACAAGCATTCCTATACACCAGCAATAGACAAGTAGAGAGCCAAATCATGAGTGAACTCCCATTCACAACTGCTACAAAAAGAATAAAATACCTAGGAATACAACTTACAAGGGACGTGAAGGACCTCTTCAAGGAGAACTACAAACCGCTGCTCAATGAAATAAAAGAGGAAACAAACAAATGAAAGAACATTCCCTGCTCATGGATAGGAAGAATCAATATCATGAAAATGGCCATACTGCCCAAGGTAATTTATAGATTCAATGCCACCCCCATCAAGCTACCAATGACTTTCTTCACAGAATTGGAAAAAACTACTTTAAAGTTCATATGGAACCAAAAAGAGCCTGCATTGCCAAGGAAATCCTAAGCAAAAAGAAGAAATCTGGAGGCATCACACTACCTGACTTCATACTATACTACAAGGCTACAGTAACCAAAGCAGCATGGTACTGGTACCAAAACAGAGATATAGACCAATGGAACAGAACAGAGCCCTCAGAAATAACATCATACATCTACAACCATCTGATCTTTGACAAATCTGACTAAAACGAGAAATGGGGAAAGGATTCCCTATTTAATAAATGGTGCTGGGAAAACAGGCTAGCCATATGTAGAAAGCTGAAACTGGATCCCTTCCTTACACCTTATACAAAAATTAATTCAAGATGGATTAAAGACTTAAATGTTAGACTTAAACCCATAAAAACCCTAGAAGAAAACTTAGGCAATACCATTCAGGACATAGGCATGGGCAAGGACTTCATGAATAAAACACCGAAAGCAATGGCAATAAAAGCCAAAATTGACAAATGGGATCTAATTAAACTAAAGAGCTTCTGCACAGCAAAAGAAACTACCATCAGAGTTAACAGGCAACCTACAGAATGGGAGAAAATTTTTGCTATCCACCCATCTGACAAAGGGCTAATATCCAGAATCTACAAGGAACTTAAAAAAATTTACAAGAAAAAATCAAACAACCCCATAAAAAGTAGGTGAAGGATATGAACAGACACTTCTCAAAAGAAGACATTTATGCAGCAAACAGACACATGAAAAAATGCTCATCTTCATTGGTCGTCAGTGAAATGCAAATTAAAACAACAATGAGATACCATTTCACACCAGTTAAAATGGCGATCATTAAAAATTCAGGAAAAAACAGATGCTGCAGAGGATGTGGAGAAATAGGAACACTTTTACACTTTTGGTGCGACTGTAAACTAGTTCAACCATTGTAGAAGACAGTGTGGTGATTCCTCAGGGATCTAGAACTAGAAATACCATTTGACCCAGCGATCCCATTACTGGGTATATGCCCAAAGGATATAAATCATGCTGCCATAAAGACACATGCACACGTATGTTAATTGTGGCAATATTCACAATAGCAAAGACTTGGAACCAACCCAGATGTCCATCAGTGATAGACTGGATTAAGAAAATGTGGCATATATACCTCATGGATTACTATGCAGCCACAAAAATGATGAGTTCATGTCCTTTGCGGGGACATGGATGAAGCTAGAAAACATCTATTCTAAGCAAACTACCACAAGGACAGAAAACCAAACACCGCATGTTCTCACCCATAGATTGGAATTGAACAATGAGAACACTTGGACACAGGGCAGGGAACATCACACACGGGGGCTGTCATGGGGTGAGAGGCAAGGGGAGGAATAGCATTAGGAGAAATACCTAATGTAAATGATGAGTTAATGGGTGCAGCAAACCAACATGGCACATGTATACCTATGTAACAAACCTGCACGTTGTGCACATGTACCCTAGAACTTAAAATATAATTTTTTTAAAAAAGACATAGATGAATCCACTATTATAGTAGGTGACTTCAACACCCTCTTTCAAAAACTGACAGATCCAGGAGGCAGCAAATCAGTAAGGACATAGTTGAAATCAACAGCACTCAACCATCTGGATATAAATAAAATACATCTATAAAATACTTAATCCAATGACAAGTTGAGGAGAAAGAACTAATAGAAAGGAAGAAATTGAAGATACAGAAGTGTGTGTGTTTGGTGGAGGACTAGTAGTGCTCAATCACATAATGTCTGAGGAAACAGAATAGAATGAGATCCAAAGCTTGGGTAAAGGATATGCTCTGAACAGAAGAGCCTATACCATCTCCACTGAGACAGAAGGAAAGGAGGAGATAATGAGCTCAGATTTGAAAATGAGTTAATAGGTGGTGAAAGAAAAAGTTGAGAGAAGATAGGTAGTCCTACCTATCTTCATGTTGTCAGTCAAGTAGAAGACAAAGTCAACTTCCAAAAATGAGAAGAGAGAGGGTGGAGCAAAGGGATGAAGAAGAAAAGTGGAGTTGAGTTTAGTGGCATGCACCTGTAATCCCAGATATTCAGGAGGCTGAGGCAGGAGGATTGCTGGAGCCCAACAGTTCAAGGCTGCAGCTCACTAGGATTACACCTGTTAATAGCCACTGCACTCCAACCTGAGCAACACAGCTATAACCCAACTCTAAAAAATTGAAAAGAAGAAGAAAAGTTAAAATGTTGAATAGCCACTTAGAAATTAAGAATGAGCTGCATGGGGACATATGGAAGGGTTGCTGGGCAGCTCAGTTGAAGGCCTAGCTGGAAATGCAAAACCATAAATTTGCATTGACTCCAAATTGCATTGTTGTGTGATTTTTTTTTCAATAGCCTGAGTGTTGAGCAGAGAAGTGTTGGTGTTGGGAACAGGCCCCCAAATCTGGCCATAAACTGGCCCCAAAACGGCCATAAACAAAATATCTGCAGCACTGTGACATGCTCATGATGGCCTTGACACCCACGCTGGAAGGTTGTTGGTTTACCAGAATGAGGGCAAGGAACACCTGGCCCACCCAGGGTGGAAAACCGCTTAAGGCGATCTTAAACCACAAACAATAACATGAGTGATCTGTGCCTTAAGGACATGTTCATGCTGCAGATATCTAGCCAGAGCCCATCCCTTTATTTCAGCCCATCCCTTTATTTCAGCCCATCCCTTTATTTCCCGTAAGGCATGTGATATTTCTGTGTGTGTGTGTGTCTTTAATTCCTCTAGCACCACTGGGTTAGGGTCTCCACGACCTAGCTTGTCTCAGCAGTTGGGAATTTGGACTTATCCTGAGTTGTAGCTCTATGCGGAATGTGTGGCAAAAGAGTAGAGAACATGGTGAGAATGCTTGAAATGAGGCTCCCAGGCTCAAGATGGAGCCCTGGGAAGCATCAAAATATAAAGAATGAATAGAAGAAGAGGAGAATGCAAAGGTAAATGAGAAAGAGAAGCCAGAAGCTAGTGTTGTCACAAAAGGAAACAGTCCTGAAAACCCCAAAGTTTGCAGAACCCTCTGAGGTCATGTAGTCCAAACTTCTAATTGTGACAGGTGAGAAAAGTGAGGCTCAGAGAGAAGATACTTATCCAAGGTTCAGTGAGTTAACAGCAGAGCTGGGACTACAATTCAGGTCTTTTAACTTTGTCCCAGGCTCGTATTTACTCTATGGAACTTCATTACCTTTTCTTAATTTATAAGTCACATATGTTTTCTGTAGATAATTTAGAAAACACAAAAAAAGAATAAAATTTAAATCTTTATAATCTTACCATTAACTGTAAACATTTTCAGACAGGTGGTGGCTTTAAAACAAGTTCACAAATTCTTTGACATCTGTCCCATCAAGAGATGGAATTTAATACCACCCCAACCCAGCCAAGATTATGGGCTGGCCTTGGTGACTTGCTTCTAACAGATAGAATACAGTGAAAATGATGTTGCATGACTCCCAATGCTAGGTCAAAAAAGCAATTCTGCTGCCACCTGGCTCTTGGGACACTTGTTCTTGGAACCCAGCTGTCATGCTATGAGGAAACACAGGCCACATGGAGAGGCTACATGAAAGCATTCCAGTTAAAACCCCAGCTGAGTTCCTAGTTAGCAACCAGCATCAACTGCCAGACATGTGTGAATGAGGAAGCCTTCAAAATTTCTCCAGCCCCAGCTGTCGTCTAACTGCAATTGTATGAGAGACTCTGAGCAAGAACCTTGTAAGTGACCCAGTCAACCCCTAGAGTCTTGAGAGAGAATAATAAATGATTTGTTGTTAGTTTACATCACTAAGCTTAAAGATGGTTTATTAATGTTGTACTAAATAACCAAGATAGCATATTTCTTTCCAGTCTTTTCTATGCATAGATATTTTAATTACAATATTTAAATCACTATATATATACTATTTTTAATCTTCCTTTTCTACTTTGCTTGATTCATAATCATTGTCCCACATCATTAAAATTTGTGTTAAAATGCCATTATAAGGGGCACATGGTATTCTGCTACATGGATATTTCATACCATATTTAACCAGTCTTTTGTTAGACATTTATATTTTTTCCAATTTATCATTCTCATAAATAATGCTTCAGTGAACATTCTTGCATCTACACCTTTTTAAAGTATGCTTTAAAAATATGCTTATTTTTGTCATTTGCATGACAAAAGCAACACAGGTTAACTGAAACAATTCAAATAATACAAAAGTTCCTAAAGTAAAATTAATAGATTTATTCCATTCCCCCTTCAAAGCCACCCCCACAATGGAACCACTACTAAAATTTAAGGTAAATCCTTCCACACTTTCTGTTTCACACATATAAACACATAGTGTGAGTTTATTTTCTTTCACAAAAATGGGGTCACTATGGCTTTCTCTTTTACTTAGCAATATATCATGAACAGCATTGCTAGTCAATATGCCTTATTCCTTTTAATGACCGAATAATACATAGTCCATATCTACCATAATTTTTATAGCTATTTTCCTATCAGTGAATGTTCAGGTTGTTGCTATTTTTTTTTTCCTAGACACAGTCTCGCTCTGTCACTCAGGCTGGAGTGCAGTGGCATGATCTCGGCTCACCACAACCTCCACCTCCTGGGATCAAGCGATTCTCCTGGCTTAGCCTCCCAAGTACCTGGGATTACAGGCGCATGCCACCATGCCCAGCTAATTTTTTGTATTTTTAGTAGAAACAGGGTTTTGCCATGTTGACCAGGCTGGTATCGAACTGCTGACCTTGTGTGATATGCCTGCCTCGGCCTCCCAAATTGCTGGGATTATAGGCATGAGCCACCGCACCTGGCCAGTTGTTGCTATTACAAACAATATTGTAGTAAACACCCCAGTACATGTACCTACACATTCTACTACTTTTATTTCTGACAGTTGTATTGCCATAAGTGAGATTTTTCAGGTCAAAGGTCATGTAGATGTTTAATTTTGATAAACACAGTTGGAGGACTTCCCATTAAATATGGAAGATTAAATACATATTTATCTATTATCCCTTCTAAAACTGCACTAAAATGAGAAGAAGAGAATTTTTTCTTCTTTGTAGGTACAAACCTACAAAGACAAACAGAATGAAAAGTAGGGAGCAACAGATAAAATATGCCAACACGTCTTTGGAAGATGGAAAGCAGAAGGGGATTAGCAGAGCTGAGAGAGCTAAAGAGCAAATGCCTGCAAAGAGGAATGTGACATAAGAAGCAAGGTAATTCATGCTGCAGAATGCCTAGAGAGCTCAGGACTTAAAGACACTATCACTAGTCGATCACTAATCACTAATGACTAGTGTCTCAAAAAAGGCAGGAGTGTGTCAACAAGTTGAAACAGGGTTTTTCTGCATGTGTGTGTGATGTACAGCTAGACTGCTCTGAGGTCCCTTACCTCATCCTGTTCAGCCAGGTCAGTACCATTTCCTTATTCTGGCAAAAGACTCTGAGTTTATTCAAAGAAAATTGATCCACAGAAGACCCAAACCCAGATATCCCAGGTAGAGTGGAAAATGGTGTCATATCGAAAAAAGGGGCATTGAATAAAAGTTGAACATAAGATCTCTATTTCTACCCCCCAGATAGCTTGATTCTAAGAACACAAGCAGCCAGGTATATATTTTCCAGGCAGGAAATTAGAGAATTCAGTTCTGAAGAAACTGAACAGCTCTCAGAGAAAATACCTACAAATACTGTCATTGTGGGGTCCCCAGTAAACCAGTTAGGTTCTCTCACTCATTCATCTTACAGTGAAGTTCATCAGTTGATAAGTCCTATTCCTATAGGAAAGCCTCCTATATTAAAGTTAAAAAAAAATAAATCAGAAGAAACAGTGAGATAAAGAGAGGGCAAGAGAAAACTTTAAAAATTACCCTCACAGATCTAGGATATTATAATATATATAGACATGGAAAGATGCATTGTCAGGTTTTTTAAGACCTATTTCAAAATGGTATATATATTCATTAGGCATATATTTATTGAGTTATCTACTATGTACCAGGCACTGTTCTAGGCACTGGGAAGAAAATGGAAAACAAGATCTTGGCCCCACTCTTATGGAGTTTAATTCTAATAGCTTATAAACTACAATCTCATTTGTATGAAATTTTGAATGTATGTTTATGTGTGTTTATGTTTGTGTAAACAGAAAGATGTCCTAAATGAAGTCTACTATAGTTTTTTCTGGGTGGTAAGATTTTAGTTGATTTTTACTTTCTTAATGCTTACAACAAAATTATATCTATTCGTGTGGGAAATCCCTGGTCACCGTCCCTCACTTTTCACTCCCAGTTATTGTCCTTGAAAAATGTTAAGTCTCCCAGGAAGAACAACTAACCTACCATCAGCCATCAGTGCCCCTTCATGAACTTTTTTAAGAAAGAAAAAGGTTCTCAGGGTCTTGCTATATTGCCCAGGCTCTGGGTTCCACATGCACATCATGAAATTTTTGTTATCCCTTTTAGGGGGTAGAAGGCTAAGGAAAAATATCTCTAAGGGTTAGAGTGCTTGGAGGTGGGGAGATGCCCACTGAAATGGAATTGTTATCACACAGTTTTCTGGGAGAGGCAATTGCATCTACGTCTAAGAGAGGGAAAAGTTTTATACAACGCCAAAGAGATTATGGACTTCTACATCCTTCTTGGCCCCAAAGTCTCACCTTCACAGCATCCTAGGGGAGCTGTATTCTGTAGCCTGCCAGGTGCCCTCTGGCAGCCAGAAAGGTCATAGGGAGGAATAAGTTTCTCATCCGTATAAATAAGCGTCCTTCTCCTTTTCTCCTCCCTACAAATAAGACTCATTAGGATTTTGGCATTCCCCAGAAAGTGGGAGACTTCCCCTTACTGCTAACAATTCCCCATTAGCATGCCTTCATTGCAGCCCTTTTATTGCATTCATCAAATTCCTTTCTCCAGAAACATTTCCCAGCCCATCAGCTAAGTTATCAAGAAAAGCATAGGCCAAGCATGGTGGCTCATGCCTGTAATCCCAGCACTTTGGGAGGCCAAGGTGGGCAGAACACCTGAGGTCAGGAGTTCGAGGCCAGCCAGGCCAATATGGTGAAACCTCATCTCTACTAAAAATACAAAAATTAGCTGGGCATGGTGGCAGACACCTGTAATCCCAGCTACTCGGGAGGCTGAGGCAAGAGAATCACTTGAACCTGGGAGGCAGATGTTGTAGTGAGCTGAGATCATGCACTACACTCCAGCCTGGGTGACAAGAGTGAAACTCCATCTCAAAAAAATAAAAAGAAAGAAAGAAAGATATAACCAGATAAGTTATAGAAGAAAAACACCTGGAGAGTGTTCACACTTATCCAGGATGTTAGGTTCCAGAAACAGGGTAAGGTAGGGAACTCCTTAAGTGAGGCCGTCCTCCCCATCCTTTTTACCAGAATCCATCAAAAGTTTGTTGCCTTTAATTAACAAACAGACAAACATTTACTTAAAAGTATAGTATGGTGATTACAGTCGAGGAGGATTAATAGATATATATATAACAAACATTAACACCAATCAGAATGAATTATATAATATGATCAAGTACAAGCAAAGAGCTCAGTGATTAAAAGGAAAAGTACCATTAAATGTGATTGGGAGATTATAACCAACTTCACAGAGGAGGTGACATAGAAGCTAAGGCTTGAAGGATGAGTTAGATTTCAAGAGCTAGAAATGATGAGAGGCATCAATCCAGGCTAAGAGATCATAAGCAAGGTCATGAAGGCAGAGAAGTAAGTGAACTATTGAGCTAAGAGTAGGTAATCAGCTATGACTGAAGGAGAAGTCACTTAGCCTTGGTACCCATTACTCACTAGATATAGAATGACTATATGTAGGATTCTTGGGGAAATGTAATAAGAGATGACATCAGAAAAAAAGTAGCAGAGGCTAGAGGAGGAGGGCTCTTGAATGCTAGGTTAAGGATTTTGGGTTTAGTTATTTCATAATTATAAGGGAGAGAAGTGACAGGATCTAGCCACTGCATTAAAAGGGCAACTCCAGTCATTCCATAGAAAGTGGAGTAAAGGCAATGAGGCTGGTACAGAAAGAAGACCAGTTAAGAGGATACTTCAGTGTCTAGGTGAGTAAAAGCAAAGGCCTAGACTAGGATAGTGACAGTGAAGATGGAGAAGAGAGATACAGATTTGGAAGCCCTCAGCATATAAATGATGTCCAAAGCTTTGGGAATGGTGAGCTTACCCAAGGAAAATAAAGAATGAAAAGAGAAGATAATCAAAAACGAAACTCTGAGGAAACTCACATTCAGGAGGAAGGAGAAGAGTTTCCAAATGAAACTGAAGAATAGCCCAAAGAGCAACAGGAGAACCAGTAGAATACAATGCCCTGAAAGTCACTAATTGGAAGTCTCTCAAAGTCCAAAGTACCCTGGAGCTAACATTCTTTAGTCTGCATATGCTAAAAGTAGCTTATGATGGTAGTAGCTTTTTATAGCAGTCATGTCATAATTTTGGCTCCTACTTAGTTTGTTTTTAACTACCACCCTGAAGTCTTAGCTGTAAGAATTGTATTCCAGAGTGGTGGCTGGCAAGATGGCTAAAGGGGAACACCTTCAGTCTGCAGCTCCCAGTGAAATCAACATAGAGGCAGGTAATTTCTGCATTTCCAACTGAGGTACATGGCTCATCTCATTGGGACTGGTTAGACAGTGGGTGCAGCCCACAGAGGGAGACCCGAAACAGGGGGGTATCACCTCACCCAGGAAGCACAATGGGTCAGGGAACTCCCTCCACTAGCCAAGGGAAGCCATGAGGGAATGTGTCATGAGGAATGATGCACTCCGGCCCAGATACTATGATTTTCCCACAGTCTTCTCAACCCACAGACCAGGAGATTCCCTCAGGTGCCTACCCCACCAGGGCCCAGGGTTTCAAGCACAAAACTGGGCTGCCGTTTGGGCAGGCACTGAGCTAGCTGCAGGATTTTTTGTTTTGTTTTGTTTTTTCATACCCCAGTAGCACCTGGAACGCCAGCAAGACAGAAACGTTCACTCCCTTGGAATGTGGGCTGAAGCCAGGGAGCCAAGCAGTCTAGCTCACCAAATCCCACCTCCGAGGAGCCCAGCAAGCTAAAATCACAGGCTTGAAATTCTCACTGCCAGCACAGCAGTCTGAAGTCGACCTGGGACACTAGAGTTTGGTGGGGGAAGGGGCATCTGCCATTACTAACGCTTGAGTAGGTGGTTTTCCCCTCACAGTGTAAACAAAGACACCCAGGAAGTTCAGACTGAGCAGAGCCCACTGCAGCTCAGCAAAGCTGTTGTAGTTAGACTGCCTCTCTAGATTCCTATCTCTGGGCAGGGGATCTCTGAAAGAAAAGCAGCATCCCCAGTAAGGGGCTTATAGATAAAACTCCCATCTCCCTGGGACAGAGCAACTGGGGGAAGGGGTGGCTGTGGGCACAGCTTCAGCAGACTTAAACGTTCCTCCCTGCCAGCTCTGAGGAGAGCAGTGGATTTCCCAGCACAGTGCTTGAGCTCTGCTAAGGGTCACACTGCATTCTCCAGTGGGTCCCTGACCCCTGTGCCTCTTTACTGGGAGACAACTCCCAGCAGAGGTCGACAGACACACCTCATACAGGAGAGCTCTGGCTGGCATCTGGTGGGCGATTCTCTGAGACAAAACTTCCAGAGGAAGAAACAGACAGCAATCTTTGCTGTTTTGCAGCCTCCGCTGGTGATACCCAGGCAAAGAGGGTCTGGAGTGGTCCTCCAGCAAACTCCAGCAGACCAGCAGCAGAGAGGCATGACTGTTAGAAGGAAAACTAACGAACTGAAAGGAATAGCATCAACATCAATGAAAAGGACGTCCACACAGAAACCCCAACCGAAGGTCACCAACATCAAAGACCAAAAGTACATAAATCCATGAAGATGAGGAAAAATCAGCACAAAAAGGCAGAAAATTCCAAAAACCAGAATGCCTCTTCTCCTCCAAAGGATCACAACTCCTCACCAGCAAGAGAGCAAAATGCACAGAGAATGAGTTTGATGAATTAACAGAAGTAGGCTTCAGAAGGTGGGTAATAACAAACTCCTCTGAGCTCAAGGAGCATGTTTTAACCCAATACAAGAAAGCTAAGAATCTTGATAAAAGGTTAGAGGAATTGCTAACTAAAATAACCATTTTATAGGAAAACATAAATGACCTGACGGAGCTGAAAAACACAGCACAAGATCTTTGTGAAGCATATGCAAGTACCAATAGTGGAATTGATCAAGCGGAAGAAAGAATATCAGAGATTAAAGATCAGCTTAATGAAATAAAGTGTGAAGATTAGAGAAAAAAGAATGAAAAGCAACAAACAAAGCCTCAAAGAAACATGGGACTATGTGAAAAGACCAAACCTAAGTTTGATTGGTGTACTTGAAAGTGATGGGGAGAATGGAACCAAGTTGGAAAACACTCTTCAGAATATTACCCAGAAGACCTTCCCCAAGCTAACAAGACAGGCCAAAATTCAAATTCAGAAAATACAAAGAACACCACAAAAATACTCCTTGAGAAGAGCAACCCCAAGGCACATAATCCTCAGATTCACCAACGTTGAAATGAAGGAAAAAAATGTTAAGAGCAGCCAGAGAGAAAGGTCGGGTTACCCACAAAGGGAAGCCCATCAGATTAACCATGAATCTCTCTGCAGAAACCCTACAAGCCAGAAGAGAGTGGGAGCCAATTATTCAACATTCTTAAAGAAAATAATTTTCAACCCAGAATTTTATATCCAGCCAAACTAAGTTTCATAAGTGAAGGAGAAATAAAATCCTGTAAAGATAAACAAATGCTGAAACGTTTTGTCACCACCAGGCCTGTCTTATAAGAGCTCCTGAAGGAAGCACTAAATATGGGGGAAAAAAGCCAGTAACAGCCAATACAAAAACATACCAAATTGTAAAGACCATCAACGCTATGAGGAAACTGCATCAGCTAACAGGCAAAATAACCAGATAGCATCATAATTACAGAATCAAATTCACACATAACAATATTAACCTTAAATGTAAGTGGGCTAAATGCCAAATTAAAACACACAGATGGGCAAATTGGATAGAGTCAAGACCCATCGACGTGCTGTATTCAGGAGACCCATCCCTTGTGCAAAGATGCACATAGGCTCAAAATAAAGGGATGCAGGAATGTTTACCAAGCAAATGGACAGAAAAAAAAAAAGGCAGGGGTTGCAATCCTAGTCTCTGATAAAACAGACTTTAAACGAACAAAGATCAAAATAGACAAAGAAGGGCATTACATAATGGTAAAGAGATCAATGCAGCAAGAAAAGCTAACTATGCTAAATATCTATGCACCCAATACCTGAGCACTCAGATTCATAAAGCAAGTTCTTAGAAACCTACAAAGAGACTTAGACACCCACACTATAACAGTGGGAGACTTTAACACCCAATTGTCAATAGTAGACAGATCAATGAGGAAGAAAATTAACAAAGGATATTCAGGACTTGAACTCAGCTCTGGACCAAGTGGACCCAATAGACATTGACAGAACACTCCACCACAAATCAAAAGAAGATACATTCTTCTCAGCACCTCCTTGCAGTTATTCTAAAATTGACCACATAATTGAAAGTAAAACGCTCCTCAGCAAATGCAAAAGAACGGAAATCATAATAAACAGTCTCTCAAACAACAGTGCAATCCAACTACAACTTAGGATTTAACAACTCACCGAAAACTGCACAACTACATGGAAACTGAGCAACCTGCTCCTGAATGACTACTGGGTAAATAACGAAATTAAGGCAAAAATAAATAAGTTATTTCAAACCACTGAGAACAAAAATACCATGCACCAGAATCTCCGGGACACAGCTAATGCAGTGTTTAGAGGGAAATTTATAGCACTAAATGCCCACATCAGAAAGTGGGAAAGATCTAAAATTGACACCCTAACATCACAATTAAAAGAACTAGAGATGCAAGAGCAAACAAATTCAAAAGCTAGCAGAAGACAAGAAATAACTAAGATCAGAGAAGAACAGAAGGAGAGAGAGACATAAAGAAAACCCTCAAAAAATCAGTGAATCCAGGAGGTGGCTTTATGAAAAGATTAACAAAATAGATAGACCGATAGCCAGACTAATAAAGAAGAAAAGAGAGAAGAATCAAATATATGCAATAAAAAAGATATAGGGAAGATCACATCACCACTGATCTCACAGAAATACAAACTACCATCAGGGAATACTATAAACACCTCTTCGCAAATAAACTACAAAGTCTAGAAGAAATGGATAAATTCCTGGACACATACACCCTCCCAAGACTAAACCAGGAAAAATTCGAATCCCTGAAGAGACCAATAACAAGTTCTGAAATTGAGGCAGTAATTAATTGCCTACCAAAAATTTAAAAATAATAAAAAAAACAAGGACCAGATGAATTCACAGCCAAATTCTATCAAAGGTACAAAGAGGAGCTGGTACCATTCCTTCTGAAACTATTCCAAAAAATAGAAAAAGAGGAACTCCTCCCTAACTCATTTTATTAGGCTAGCATCATCCTGATACCAAAACCTGGCAGAGACACAACAAATAAAGAAAATTTAAGTCCAATATCCCTGATGAACATCGATGTGAAAATCCTCTATAAAATACTGGCAAACCAAATCAGCAGCACATCAAAAAACTTATCCAACACAATCAAGTCAGCTTCATCCCTGGGATGCTAGGCTGGTTCAACATATGCAAATCAATAAACATAATCCATTACATAAACAGAACCAATGACAAGAACCACATAATTATCTCAATAGATGCCGAAAAGGTCTTTAATAAAATTCAACACCCCTTCATGCTAAAAACTCTCAATAAATTAGGTATTGAAGAAACTTTATCTCCAAATAATGAGAGCTATTTATCACAAACCCACAGCCAATATCATAATGAATGGACAAAAGCTGGAAGCATTCCCTTTGAAAACTGGCACAAAACAAGGATGCCCTCTCTCACCACTCCTATTCAACATAGTGTTGGAAGTTCTGGCCAGGGTAATCAGGCAAGAGAAAGAAATAAAGCGTGTTCAAATAGGAACAGAGGAAGTCAAATTGTCTCTGTTTGTAGAAGACATGATTATACATTTAGAAAACCCCATCATCTCAGCCCAAAATCTCCTTAAGCTGATAAGCAACTTCAGCAATGTCTCAGGATACAAAGTCAATGTGCAAAAATCACAAGCATTCATATACATCAATAATAGACAAACAGAGAGCCAAATCATGAGTGAACTCCCATTCACAATTGCTTCAAAGAGAATAAAATACCTAGGAATCCAACTTACAAGGGACATGAAGGACCTCTTCAAGGAGAACTACAAACCACTGCTCAATGAAATAAAAGAGGATACAAACAAATGGAAGAACATTCCATGCTCATGGGTAGGAAGAATCAATATCGTGAAAATGGCCATACTGCCCAAGGTAATTTATAGATTCAATGCCATCCCCATCAAGCTACCAATGACTTTCTTCACAGAATTGGAAAAAACTACTTTAAAGTTCATATGGAACCAAAAAAGAGCCCGCATTGCCAAGTCAATCCTAAGCCAAAAGAACGAAGCTGGAGGCATCATGCTACCTGACTTCAAATTATACTACAAGGCTACAGTAACCAAAACAGCACGGTACTGGTACCAAAACAAATATATAGGCCAATGGAACAGAACAGAGGCCTCAGAAATAATGCCACACATGTACAACAAACTGCTCTTTACTAACCTGACAAAAACAAGCAATGGGGAAATGACTCCTTATTTAACAAATCGTGTTGGGAAAACTGGCTAGCCACAAGCAGACAACTGACACTGGACCCCTTCCTTACACCTTATACAAAAATTAACTCAAGATGGATTAAAGACTTAAATGTAAGACCTAAAACTATAAAAAACCTAGAAGAAAACCTAGGCAATATCATTCAGGACATACGCATGGGCAAAGACTTCACGAATAAAACACCAAAAGCAATGGCAAAAAAAGCCAAAATTGACAAACGGTATCTAATTAAACTAAAGAGCTTCTGTACAGCAAAAGAAGCTATCATCAGAGTGAACAGGCAACCTACAGAATGGGAGAAAAATTTTGCAATCTATCCATCTGACAAAGGGCTAATATCCAGAATCTACAAGGAACTTAAACTGATTTACAAGAAAAAAAACAAACATCCCCTTCAAAAAGTTGGTGAAGGATATGAACAGGCACTTCTCAAAAGAAGACATTTATGTGGGCAACAAACATATGAAAAAAAACTCATCATCACTGGATATTAGAGAAATGCAAATCAAAATCACAATGAGATACCATCTCATGCAAGTTAGAATGGTGATCATTAAAAATTCAGGAAACAACAGATATTGGAGAGGATGTGGAGAAATAGGAATGCTTTTACACTGTTGGTGGGAGTGTAAATTAGTTCAACCATTGTGGAAGACAGTGTGGTGATTCCTCAAGGATCTAGAACCAGAAATACCATTCGACCCAGCAATCATATTACTGGGTATACACCCAAAGGATTAAAAATCATTATATTATAAAGACATATGCACACATATATTTATTGCAGCACTGTTCACAATAGCAAAGACTTGGAACCAACCCAAAAGTCCATCAATAATAGACTGGATAAAGAAAATGTGGCACATATACACCATGGAATACTATGCAGCCACAAAAAAGGGTGAGTTCATGTCCTTTGCAGGGACATAGATGTAGCTGGAAATCTTCATTCTCAGCAAACTAACACAAGAACAGAAAACCAAACACAACATGTTCTCACTCATAAGTGGGAGTTGAACAATGAGAACACATGGACATAGGAAGGGGAGCATCACACACCAGGGCCTGTTGGTAGGGGCAGCTGGGGGAGATATAGCATTAGGAGAAATACCTAACATGCATGACGGGTTGATGGGTGCAGCAAACCACCATGGCACGTGTATACCTATGCAACAAACCTGCACATCCTGCACATGTATTTCAGAACATAAAGTATAATTTTTTTATTATACTTTAAGTTTTAGGGTAAATGTGCACAATGTGCAGGTTAGTTACATATGTATACATGTGCCATGTTGGTGTGCTGCACCCATTAACTCGTTATTTAAGTCAGGAAACAACAGGTGCTGGAGAGGATGTGGAGAAATAGGAACACTTTTACACTGTTGGTGGGACTGTAAACTAGTTCAACCATTGTGGAAGTCAGTGTGGCGATTCCTCAGGGATCTAGAACTAGAAATACCATTTGACCCAGCCATCCCATTACTGGGTATATACCCAAAGGATTATAAATCATGCTGCTATAAAGACACATACACACGTATGTTTATTGTGGCACTATTCACAATAGCAAAGACTTGAAACCAAGCCAAATGTCCAGCAATGATAGACTGGATTAAGAAAATGTGGCACATAAACACCATGGAATACTATGCAGCCATATAAAAGGATGAGTTCATGTCCTTTGTAGGGACATGGATGAAGCTGGAAACCATCATTCTCAGCAAACTATAGCAAGGACAAAAAAACAAACACTGCATGTTCTCACTCATAGGTGGGAATTGAACAATGAGAACACATGGGCACAGGAAGGGGAACATCACACACCAGGGCCTGTTGTGGGGTGGGGGGAGGGGGGAGGGATAGCATTAGGAGATATACCTAATGTTAAATGACGAGTTAATGGGTGCAGTATAATTTTAAAAATTGCTACAGTATTTCAAAAAAATGTAAACTGTTCCTACAGTATTTTTTTCTTAGCACTTTTTGGTTTGTATAATATTTCACAATAAAAATAGCTTTCTTTTAGGAAAAAAAAGAATTGTAATTCAGTCAGATTTCCCTGTCCTAGACTTTGAAGTTGCAAAACAGGACTTATTTTCTTCCTATTTATTGTCATTGTTCTTGTTTTGGGTTGTTATTTTAGCCTGTCCAACAATTTTTTTACATCTCGATTCATTCCACATATTACCTCCTTCTCCCGGCTTTGTATCATCTGCAATTTTATCAGCTCACTTTTTATGTCTTCATCCATATCATTGATTAAAATGTTGACTGGAAAGGGACCCAGTCCAAAGTGGCTATAAAGATCTGCTTTAGGGTGACATAAAGCATGAATATGTCACCTTTGGGTTCAAATTATGAATCTTGCGCAGTTTCATTATTCAGCCCACTTATCTGCATTCTGCCAACAAAGATATCACAGAGAAAATATACCAAAATCAATATACACCATGACTAAAGCATTCTCTGTCTGCAAATCTAATAACCACATTCAGAGAAGAAATTCATTTCTTTTGGTAGACCAACTCCTAGCAATCACTTTATTTTCTAGATGCTCACAAACCATGAGCCTACTAATCAATCTTAAATTGTTGCTGAGCACTGACATTGTTATAGGACTTTTTCCTCAGTTCAGCTAAGAGGCAGTCTCTTGTCACATGGCCATGAGAGATTAGGCTCACAGACACTTTGAAGGGTGAGAAAAAATGAAATTTATTGGACGAAAAGGGAAAAAAGGGAAACGTGGACCCTCCACAAAGCCATAGTCCTGCTAGTGCACATCCTGCCTCACAGATTGAATCCCAGGTACCACCCAGGGAGAGGAGAGACCAGGCTCCTCCCCACTGCAAATGGTGCAAACTTCCCAAGGCTCCACCCCAGTGCGCATTCCTCCCAGTGTGCAGGTCGGTCAGAGGTTCTGCCAGGAAGCCTTTTCCATCTGGCTGTCTCAACATCAAGTTTTTTTGTCTGTACTTTCTAGAATCTGATTAGTCTTTTGGCACTTCTCTTCAAAGAATATTTACAAAAGTACTAAAAAATTATCTCCAAAATTTTAACTCTATAGAATTAATTGTGGATGATGTTATAAATGTAAGGAGAGGCCATTGGTGGTTTTGAATAGGGAAGAGGGTGACAGAATCTGATTTGCACACCTCCAAGAATTAGAATAGATTGTCAGTCCCAGGAAAGACTCCAGAGTTGGGTGAGACTACATACTGCCCTTTGTTTGCTTTTTTATTTTTAATTGACACATAATAATTGTGCATATTTATGGAACACAGGGTGAGTTTTGACACACATATATGCTATGCTATGTAATGATCAAATCAGGGTAATTGACATATTCACTATCTCAAGCATTTATCATTTCTTTGTGGTGAGAACACTCAAAATCCTCTTTTACAGCTATTTTGAGATATACAATACATTATTGTTAACTATTATAAGGTCCTTTTTAAGTTTCCCTAATGTCTCTAACTTCCCAAAGTGATTAAGCCCTGCTCATCAAGCAAGACCACACCCCCGATCTCTGTTTCTTCTCACTCTTTTCCCCTCTGCCTGGGATATCCTTTTCCTATTTCCACTACCTTCTTCCCCATGTACAAATGCTGTGCATCCTTTAAGTTCCAATTCTAACGCCATCTGTACCAAAAAGTCATCTGGATTTCCCCTACTTTGAATTCTTATACCCCGTCTCTGTACCTTCCTCAGGCACTGAGCCCTTTCTACCTTAGATCATGCTCTTTGGAATAGGGCCAAGAGAAAGAGTATGAAAACAGCAAATGCTATCATGAAAGGAGATGCTTATTACTGGGACTCACTATCTGAGACTTCAAGGCACCTCTGAGGAGATCTGGTGCCCGAGGAATGTTGGTCAAGGACAATGTCAGACAACCCCAAGAGCATTCCCTGTTGTTTATACTCTAGTTTCCGTCATCAAGATGCTTTCAATAACAAGCCTCTCTTCTCAATGTGTAGCCTCATTACTACTGGTATGTTCCATTATCAAACCTTTGACCGTAGCTTTTACCTCCCATACTAAGCCTCTAGCAAGTGGTCTAGGCAGATTTTGATTTGAACAGTCAGTTGCTAAAGGATGTACCTGGAACAAAGATGACACTGTAACAAAATTCCTGTTGTTGGTGGACTCACCTGAAGATAAAGGCCCCAAATTTCAGCAAAAATGTCTTTCTGTATCTCAAAGGGCCTTCTTATTAGAATGAGGGATAAAATATCTGGTGAGACAGTATCTTTCATTTCTGTTTCAAATGAAACTTCCCAGCTCCCTCCAATAGCATGGACCTCCTAAAGAATAAGTGTCATACTTCCTTCAATTCTAATGGAAAATTCCAGTAGATCTGGAAAAAAAAATCAGAAACTTTACTGTGTCAGTCAGGATTGTGTTCAGCTACATGTAACAGAAACCCAAGTCCAGTTACTTAAACAGGAAATTGATTTTCTTCTTCTCATGAAGCCAGAAGGCTGATGGCATGCAGTCCAGGGAAGATACAGCAGCTCCACAATATTTCATTTTGCAAAACGACTGCTGCAACTCTAGACATTACATGTGCATTCCAAGCAGGATGAAGAAAAGGCTGGATGGAGAAAGTCAGCAACATTTGTCTCTTTTGTTAGGAAAACAATAATGTTCCCTAAAGCCCCACCTAGTAGATTTCCACGTACATCTCATTGGCCAGAACTGCATCACATGATTACCTTTTGCTGCTCAGACACTCAAGAAATTAACTGGGCATATTGCAGCCCCATATAGTCAGGTATTTTTTTTAGTACAGAAGAAATTAAGAAAAGGATATTAGATAGGTAATGAGCAGTATTTATAACTGTATATAGAGAGAGCCAAAGAATTGAAACTGTAAAAGTGTATGTCATTTGAATACATCGTTTATCTCCCTTTTTAGGCTGCACCTTCCCTAAAGTCAGGGTCTACATCTCCATCTCTGCATTCCACACAGCAGGCAGAGAACATTTATTCCATCATATTCACTATATACCAGAAATTGTGTGATCACACACATACACACACACACATGTGTATATGTGCATGTGTATATATAAATATGTGTGTACATATATAGATAGATAGATGATAGATAGATAGACAGATGATAGATAGATAGATAGATAGATAGATAGATAGATAGATAGATAGATAATTTCATCTAAAGTCTTCCCAACAACCCTAGAAGTTGGGTACTATAGTCTTCCTACTTAATAGATGATGAAATTCAGGCTTAGAGAGTTCAGATGACTTGTACAAAGCTCATACCTCCAGCAAGTGGTCAAGGTTGAATTTGAAGTGGACACTCAGATGCTAAAGGCTGTATTCTTTTACCACACCAAAGTGCCTGACATAATGTTGGCACTTAAATAAATCAGTGACAGTGGCACTTTCTGCCACTGTCAGCTACTTCAAAGGATCATATACCTTCAAATCTGGGGCCACTTGTCACATGCCTTTTTGTGACCATATACCCACTGCTCTCCTGCCTACCTTTCTATCTCTCTAGGCATTTCTCTCCAGAGCAGTAAAGACTTTTGCAGCTTAATACAGGGAATCTCTGGCTTACAGACAATCCTTATTGCTATGATAAAAGATATTGTTTCAGGGACAACAGGCAAAAGCCACTCTTTGAAGCAAAGAGAAAAGATAATTTTTAAAGAGATATGACCAAGGTTGACTGTGATGGCTCCTTGGAGTAGTGTCCCAGTCACATCAGCCTACTGCTAACTACAAGACTGGCAGTCAGGAGACATGTCTTGGCCCAGGTTTTGTTATTAATGTGTTAATGACCTTGGACAAGTCACTGCCCAGTTCTCAATCTAAGTTTTTAACTTCCATAGAAGAAGGGGCTTAGATAAATAAGGTTGCTTTGAAAGATGAGCTAACATGTGTAAATGTATGACCTAGAATTAAGAAGATGATGGTCAGAGTTATGCGCATGCACAGATACATGCAAGCATGTATGTGCGTGTGTGCAAAAACACACAGATACACAGTTTTGACTAAGTTCTATCACTTGTGTAACCACCAGACATTTACAGAACACATTTTCATAAGGACCAAATTTAGTGCTTTCTCTTTGCTTGCCAAGGCTAATCCATGTGGTCCTTTTTCTTATAATCTACATCCACTCACAAAAAGAATGTTGTTTTTCATTATGTTACCCAAATTATATTTGTTAAAGTGAGTGAGACTGGACTCTGAGCCTGAGGAGCCTGCCTTAATTGCATCATTTCAGTATATTAAGTTATCTTGGGTGCTCAAGTCTGACTATGATGAGAAGAAAATCTGCCAGTGTTTGGGTCTTATCCACCAGCACTGAGGGTGGTCTTAGAGTTTGCTGAGCAATGGGGCAGATTTTTTTTAATGTTCACATTCCTCTTATTAAGTTTCTGAGCCTATTTTTCCATTAATCTCACTCCTAGCAATGGCTCCAAGACATATCTAGGCCTGGGTCTTTATACAATATGTTGATACAATGAATCCAGGGAATAGTCCCCAACCTCCCAGGCTCCCAGCTCCTCTAGCAACTCCCTCATTTTGCTTCTCACCATTCAAAAGACAAGTGAAAATACAAATATTTTAGTGAAATACATGGACTTTATTTTCCACTGTGGAGGTAATTTCATGTCCCTTACATGTAGAGAAGCATCATGTACAGTGGTAAGGGCAATCATTGGGACTTAGAAAGCCTGGCTTCTGTTCCAAATTCTGCCCTCATCTATGTGACCTCGGGGAAGACTTTTCTACCCTTTTGAGTTCTTAAAAATGCATTAATAAAATGACGGGGTTAAACTGCTAATCTCTTAGGACCCTTTTGGTCCTAATAATCATGGTTTGCCCACACAAACATATTCATGTCAGAATGCACTGTCCCAGAACTTGGGGCTGTAAGTCCAATTAACATCATCTTCAGTACCTGAGGGTCATACAACTCCAAGGGAAGCCATTCACACAGTGGGGAATACCACTCACCCAAGGCCATGAAATCATCTGGCACCATGTTTAAGATAATCTGACAAAGGCTTTTTGAGCATGATGCCAAACATGGCATATATCTTGAGCCATACATGCTGATTGAAAGCCTGTTTCCCCCCAACCCTTGCTACAGGAGCCACTCCAAAATGACAGTTTCCCCTTCACTGAGAAGGCATAGATCATTAGCTATCTCTTTTGATCTCATTCCCCAAAACTTGGGGTCCCTGAGGAGTGGCATCTCTGTCCAAAGGAAGGAGAGCTTGCATTATGTAAAAGAAACAATTTGGTTCAATTTGGTTAAAGGTAGAACATCTGAAGGGAGCATATTGGCCTGAATAAGATCAGCAGGCTTTTTGGGCCCCCTGACTAGCATCTTGAGCAAAAGCCCAAATGCCAAGGGAAGAAGAAAGTCACAGAAAGGTAAGATTAGGTTGCTTTAAACTAATTGGAAGATTTCACAAGTTTCCCGGGGCCAAACCAAGAGTGTATCATCCAGACCCAACCAGAGTATGTATCAGAGGGTCATGAGGTATTTCCTCAAGGGTGTCCTTGGTGCTTGGTGGCGGAGTGGGGGTGGAGGTGTGGAGGAAGAGATTACACTCCTCCCAGGGGAATGAGCTGAAGGAATTCTACAGAAATATCAAATATGTTTACTGTAGACCAGGACCTGTGTACATCTATAACTATTCACAAGGGACTCCATAGAACTAAAATTCCACTTCCACTACATGCTCTGTATACATGGACTCTGGCCCTGCTGACCAGACTAACTGACTCCTCCAGCCATCTTTCATACCCTTGAACATTTTCCCCCACTGGACTCAGTTTCCCAGTATGAGTGAACTTGAATGCAATCATAGATTTCAAACTGTTTTGTGAAGCCCTAAGGTTCAGGTTCAAATGGTGTGGCTTGAGCACACAGCTTAAGGGCTACCTCAGGGATGAGAAAGGCAAGGAGAGGTCAAGTGGGCAGACATTGCAGACCCCATAACCCACACTTCAACGGAGGATTTCTGCTTCTATCTGTTTTATACATTAGGCTTCCATGAAATAATCCATTTGAAAAAAAATTAATCCAATGCTAAAAGTAGTTGGAAAACCACTGGCTTGCAGGTTTGCTAAATTCCCTACAAGCACTAATGTTCTTTGATTCTATAAAGAAAGAGTCAGAAATTGAGAAGAGTTATTTTTTTCTTGGAAGACTGATACTTTGCTGGGAAGAAAAGGCACTGAAAACTTAAAGAAGTAGCAAACAACCATCTTTCACTGGGCTATATAAAAAGATCAGCGGTTGAGCTTTGCCTTCTAGTTGGAGCATGAGGTGAATATAATCTTATGTGCTTTAATTACTTTCCTGTAGCTGAGATTCCAACTGAAAGAAAACTGATTTAGCTCTAAAGGAGCCTAGAGGCATGGGTACAAGGGCCCCTAGGTTTCAAGTGGAGCTCTGTTCAAGAAAGCTAAACAGTGACAAGTGATATCCTCATCCAAACTTTTCAGAACAATTAGTCAATGTATCTACATTTATCTAGTTTATGATTTTATGAAAATATTAGATATTTATTTTAAGAGGGAGAAACTATACATTTTAGCACACTCTGCTGGTATTAAATTACCTCTGGAAACCAAAAACCAACTACTTACCTTACTTGTAACCTGGACATCTTCTAGCACTAATTATAAAGATGACTTACCTACTTCAGTCGTATGATCACTTGCATGATTCAATTGTAAAAAAGAGAGTTGTCATCAAAGGAGGATTCTTTTTGTTTTGTTTTGTTTTTTATTTTTTCATTTCAATGGTTTTGGGGGAACAGGTGGTGTTTGGTTGCATGAAAAAGTTCTTTAGTGATGACTTCTGAGATTTTGGTGCACCCACCATCCAAGCAGGGTATATGGTACCCAATGTGTAGTCTTTTTTTTTTTTTTTTTTTTTTTTTTTGAGATGGAGTCTCGCTCTGTCGCCCAGGCTGGAGTGCAGTGGCACAATCTCAGCTCACTGCAAACTCAGCCTCCCGGGTTCACACCATTCTCCTGCCTCAGCCTCCGAGTAGCTGGGACTACAGGCGCCCGCCACCACGCCCGGCTAATTTTTTTTTTATTTTTAGTAGAGACGGGGTTTCACTGTTTTAGCCAGGATGGTCTCGATCTCCTGACCTCGTGATCCGACTGCCTTGGCCTCCCAAAGTGATGGGATTACAGGCGTGAGCCACCGTGCCCGGCCCCCAATGTGTAGTCTTTTCTCCCTCAACCCCTTCCCACCCTTCCCCCTTAGTCTCCAAAGTTTATTATATCATTCTTATGCCTTTGCATTCTCATAGCTTAGCTCCCACTTATAAGTGAGAACATATGATGTATGTTTATATATATATATGTAATATATATATAAAATGTCTATATATATATGTAATATATATATATATATATATATATATAATGTCCATATATATATATAATGGATTTCTCTCCTTTCTCAGGAACACCAATTATTCTTAGGTTTGGCTATTTAACATAACCCCAAATTTCTCAGAAGCTTTGTACATGTTTTTATTCTTTTTTCTTGTCTTTGTCTGATTGGGTTAATCTAAAGGCCTTGTCTTCAAGCTCTCAAGTTCTTTCTTCTACTTGTTTTGTTCTATTGTTGAAACTTTCCAGTGCATTTTGTATTTCTCTAAGTGTGTCTTTCACTTCCAGAAGTTGTGATTCTTTCTTCTTTATTATATCTATTTCTCTGGAGCATTTTTCATCCATATCCTGTATTTTTTTTAATTTATTAAAGTTGGTTTCTGTCTTTCTCTGGTGCCTCTTTGAGTAATTTAATAATCAACTTTCTGAATTCTGTATCTGGCAATCCAGACATTTGTTCTTGGTTTGGATCCATTGCTGGTGAGCTAGTGTGATTTTTTTTAGGGTGTTAAAGGACCTTGTTTTGTCATATTACCAGAATTACTTTTCTGATTCCTTCTCATTTGGGTAGACTATTTCAGTGGAAAAATCTGGAACTCAAAAGCTGCTGTTCAGATTATTTTGTCTCATGGGGTGGTCCCTTGATGTGCTGCACTTCCTCTTCCCCTAGGGATAGGGTCTCCTGTGGCTGTTATTGCTCTTCTGGGTCTAGCCATCCACTGGGGCTACCTGGCTCTGGGCTGGTGCTGGGGTATGTCTGTAAAAGAGTCCTGTGATGTGACCCATCTTCAGGTCTCCCAGCTGTGGATACAAGCACCTGCTCTGGTGGAGGGGGTAGGGGAGTGAAGTAGACTCTGTGAGAGTCCTTAGTTTTAGATATGTTCAGTGTGCCAGCTTTCTCAAATTCTGGTTATGTTAGCAGTGATGTTGTCACCTGGACAGACTCAGGACCACTGCAACAATAATGTTGTAGGCAGTGGAATTAGCTGTTCTTTTCTCCTCCCTTGGAGCAGGATTTTTCTGTCATGAGTTGCTGTAATGTCCTGAGTCGGTTGGCCTCCAGCCAGGAGGTAGCACTTTCAAGAGAGCACCGGCTGCGACAGTAGAAGAGGGATATAGGCTTGCCCTAAGTTGGCCAGGATAAGTATTTGGGTTTTTCAAGCAGAGGGCAAGGTCATAAAGTTCCCAAGAGTTTATATCTTTTGTGATTGGCTACCAGGGCAGTAGAGAAATACCATCAGGTGAGGGCGGGGTTAGGTGGGTCTGAGCTCATACTCTCCTTGGACAGGGCTTGCCGTGGCCACTGTGGAGGCTGGCGGGTGGTTCTCAGACCAATTGGGTTATGCTCCAGAGGGGATTATGGCTGCCTCTGTCACCAGGGAAGTGGGGGAAAGCCAATAGCAATAGGCCTCACCCAGCTCCCACACAGTTGGCAAGGCCAGTCTCACTCCCCCTGTGCCTGGCTAACAGCGCCAAGTTTATCTCCAGACAGCCTGGCCATGGGACTCAGACCTAGCCCCAGGCTAGAAACTTCCCCACTGAGAAAGCAAGCACAGCTTTCAGGCCATACCCCTCCCCATCTGCCCACATTGCGCTCCTTTCTGCTGCAGTTCCCCTTCACCCCTGGATTCTGCTCAAGAGATTTTGCATCCAATCAAAACTATTACAATGTTCAGTTGGAAGCTATTTTCACCCTGTGACCCCCTCACAAATTCTGCCAGCTTCCTTCCCTGAGTGCCCCTGTGAGATACAGTCAGGGGTGGTTTCCTTGGGCTCAAGCTGGAGAATGGGAGTGCCTACAAGGTTCTTCCCATAGCTGCTTCTACTTTTATATTTCACAGTAAATTCATTTCAGCAGTAGGTAAGTTTAAATCCTTCTCTTGTAATCTGGATTTTCAGGTTCCCCAGTAAAGACGTGTGATGGGAGGCAGGTTTTCCCCACTCTCACACTTTGGGAACTCAAAGTTTTTTGCTTGTCTCAGGAAATTTGCAGCAGCCTGCAACTTCTTTCAAAAGATTTTTGAATTCTTTCCAGTTTCCTGGTTCATGCCAGTAGTGGTTCCTGGAGCAAAAGTCCATGATGTGAGTCTCCACACACTGTTCTGTTAATCCAAGTGGGGTCTGCACATCAGCCCTGCCTCCTCTCTGCCATCTTGAACCTCCTCTTGAAAGGAGGATCCTGTAGGAACCTGGAACAACTGACCTCCCCCAAAAGATTGGCAAAGATGACTACATGTCCAATGGAATTTGAGGATTCCCAGAAAGGATTTCCTGTTCCCAATTTGCCCACTGCTAGCCAATTCCAGTATTTGAAATTCCACTGTCAAGGATCATGGCAGATGGGAGGCAGGACTAGATTGCATCTCCAGACAGAGCAGAATGCAGAGGATTGCATTGTGATTTTTAGCTCCAGGTAGACTGCAAGAATAAATCAGCCATCCCAAGAGGACCCACAGAACCTCTGAAGGAAATGGACTGCTCCTGCAGGACCTGGGAGACCCCCAAATACTGTGAGTGCCCCAACGGTGGAAGTGGGAAAGGGAGACCCTCCTCTCCCAAACACACACCCCCACTGGAGAAGGTAAAGGTCTGTTTGCCAGAGAAATTTCAAACTTTACCTGGAGCTGAGTCAAGTTAGAAAGCCGAGTGAAATACAGGGGTAGAGGAAGCAGCAGAAAAGGCCTAGGAGTTTGCTAGGTCCCCAGGCAGCCCATTCCTTCCTGGAACTACAGACATCCATTGGGAGGGTGGCCAAAGGAGCAGAGGGTAAAATTCCACAGGCAGAAGGAATTCTCTAGCTGAAATTTGTAACAATTTGAATGGGGCAAGAAGCCTCCTGACCAGAACTCGAGGGAGGGTGCAAATCCAGATTGCAACTAAAGCCCTTTTCTTTTGCAGCTGGGAGGTGGATAGCCTCGGGCAAGTTTGCAAGGTTGTCTCACCCTCTGCTTGAAAATAGACACTGGGCTCTTGGTGGGGGACACGGTAAGAGTGAGACCAGCCCTTCAGTTTGCATGGGAGCGGGGTGAGGCCTGTGACTGCCAGCTGTCCCTATCTTCCCTGACAACCTGCATGACTTAGCAGAGGCAGCCATAATCCTCCTAGGTACACAATTCCATTGGCCTGGGAATCTCATCCCCACTCCCCATAGCAGCCACAGCAAGACCCACCCAAGGAGAGTCTGACCTCAGACATGCCTAGCCCTGCCCCCACCTGATGGTCCTTCTCTATCCACCCTGGTAGCAGAAGACAAAGGGCATATAATCTTCGGGTTGTAGGGCCCTGACCACCACTGGTCCCTCTCCATGCTACTATAGGTGATGCTTTCTGGAAAGTGCTACCTCCTGGCAGGATGCCAACCAGCACAAAAATAAAGCATTAAACCACCAAAACTAATGGCCCCTACAAAGTCTATTTCACCCTCCGCCACCACCACCAGAACAGGCACTGGTATCCATGGCTAAGAGACCCATAGACAGTTCATATCACAGGACTCTGTGAAGACAACCCCCAGTATCAGCCTGGAGCCGGGAAGACTCTCTGGGTAGCTAGACCCAGAAGAGAGACAACAATCACTACAGTTCGGCTCACAGGAAGCCACATCCACAGGAAAAAAGGGAAAGTACTACATCAAAGGAACAGCCTGTGGGACAAAAGAATCTGAACAACAGCCTTCAGCCCTAGAACTTCCCTCTGACAGAACCTACCCAAATGAGGAAAACACAGAAAATAAACCCTGGTAATATGACTAAACAAGGCTTGTCAACAGCTACCAAAAATCACACTAGTTCATCAGCAATGGATACAAACCAGGGAGAAATCCCTGACTTACCTGAAAAAGAATTCAGGAGGTTAGTTATTAAGCTAATCAGGGAGGGAACAGAGAAAGGCAAAGCCCAATGCAAGTAAATCCAAAAAATGATACAATAAGTGAAGGGAGAAATATTCAAGAAACAGATAGCATAGGAAAAAAAGATCAAAAATTCAGGAAACTTTGGACATACTTTTAGAAATGCAAAATGCTCTGGAAAGTCTCAACAATAGAATTGAACAAGTAGAAGAAAGAAATTAGGGGCTCAAAGACAAGGTCTTTGAATTAATCTAACCCAACAAAGACAAAGAAAAAAGAATAAGAAAATAAGACCAAAGCCTCCAAGAACTCTGGGATTATGTTAAATGACCAAGTCTAAGAATAATCTGTGTTCCTGAGGAAGAAGACAATTCCAAAAGCTTGGAAAACATATTTGGGGAAATAATTGAAGAAAACTTCCCCAGCCTTGCTACAGAGCAACACACACAAACAAGAAGCACAAAGAACACCTGGGAAATTTATCACAAAAATATTTTCACCTAAACACATTGTCATCTGGTTGTCCAAAGTTAAGACAAAGAAGAGAATTTTAAGAGCTGTGAGACAGAAGCACCAGGTAACCTATGAAAGAAAACCTGTTAGATTAAAAGCAGATGTCTCAGCAGAAACCCTACAAGCTAGAAGGGATTGGGGCCCTATCATCAGCCTCCTCAAACAAAAGAATTATCAACCAAGAATTTTGTATCCAGGGAAACTAAGCATCATATATGAAGGAAAGATACTGTCATTTTCAGACAAACAAATGCTGAGAGAATTTGCCATTACCAAGCCACCACAACAAGAACTGCCAAAAGGAGCTCTAAATCTTGAAACAAATCCTGGAAACACATCAAAACAGAACCTCTTTAAAGCATAAATCATGCAGGACCTATAAAACAAAACTACAAGTTAAAAAGCAAAAACCATAAAACAAAAACAAAAACAAATTACACAGGCAACAAAGAGAATGATAAAAGCAATGGTACCTCACATTTCCATACTAACATTGAATGTAAATGGCCCAAATGCTCTACTTAAATGGATAAATAACTGCAGAATGGATAAAAACTCACCAAACAATTATCTGCTGCCCTCAGGAGACTCACCTAACACATTAGGACTCACATAAACTTAAAGTAAAGGGGTGGGAAAAGCCATTTCATGCAAATGGACACTAAAAGCGAGCAGGGGTAGCTATTCTTATATCAGACAAAACAAACTTTAAAGCAACAGTGGTTAAAAGAGACAAAGAGGGACATTATATAATGGTAAAAGGCCTTGTCCAACAGGAAAATATCACAATCCCAAATATATATGCACCTAACACTGGAGCTCCCAAACTTATAAAACAATTACTAGCAGACCTTAGAAATGAGACAGGCAGCAACACAATAATAGTGGAGGACGTCAATACTCCACTGACAGCACTAGACAGGTAATGAAGACAGAAAGTCAACAAAGAAACAATGGATTTAAACTACACCTTGGAAAATAATGGCCTTAACAGATATATACAGAACATTTCATCCAACAACCACAGAATACACATTCTATTCAACAGTGCATGGAACTTTCTCCAAGATAGATCATATGATAAGCCATAAAACAAGCCTCAATAAATTTAATAAAATTGAAATTATATCTAGCACTCTCTCAGATCACAGTGGAATAAAACTGGAAATCAACACCAAAAAGAACCTCCAAAATCATGCAAATACATAAAAAGTAAATAACCTGCTCCTGAATGAGCAATAGATCAGAAACAAAATCAAGATGGAAATTTAAAAATTCTTTGAACTGAATGATAATAATGACACAACCTATCAAAACTTCTGGGATACAGCTAAGGCAGTGCTAAGAGGAAAGTTTGTAGCCCTAAATGCCTACATCAAAAAATTTGAAAGAACACAAACAGACAATCTAAGGTCACACCTCAAGAAACTAGAGAAATTAGAACAAACCAAACCCAAAACCAGCATATGAAAAGAAATAACCAAGATCAGAGCAGAGCTAAATGAAATTGAAACAAAAACATTAAAAAGATAAATGAAACAATAAGCTTGTTCTTTAAAAAGATAAATAAAATTCATAGACTTTTAGCAAGATTAACCAAGAAAAGAAGACAGAAAATCCAAATAACCTAACTAAGCAATAAAACAGGAGATATTACAACTGACACCACTGAAATACAAAAGATCATTCAAGGCTACTATGGACACCTTTACGCACATAAATTAGAAAACCTAGAAGACAAGAGAAAGAAATAAAGACCATCCAAATTGATAAAGAAGAAGTCAAACTGCCCCTGTTTGCTGAAGATATCATTGTTTACCTTGAAAACCCTAAGGACTCCTCCACAAAGCTCCTAGAACTGATAAAAGAATTCAGCAAAGTTTACAGATATAAGATAAATGTACACAAATCAGTAGCTTTTCTATACACAAACAGTGACCAAGTGGTGAATCAAATCAAGAACTCAACCCCTTTTACAATAGCTGGAAAAAAAATAAAATGCTTAGGAATATATCTAACAAAGGATTCAAAAGACCTCTACGAGGAAAACTACAAAACACTGCTGAAAAAAATCATAGACAACACAAACAAATGGAAACACATCTCATGCTCATGGATGGGTAGAATCATTATTGTGAAAATGAACACAGTGCCAAAAGCAATCCACAAATTCAACACAATCCCCATCAAAGTACCACCATCATTCTTCACAGAGTTAGAAAAAACAATTCTAAAAGTCATATGAAAGCAAAAAAGAGCCCACATAGCCAAAACAAGACTAAGTGAAAAGAACAAATCTGGAGGCATCACACTACCTGATTTCAAACTATACTGTAAGGCCATAGTCACCAAAACAGCATGGAACTGGTATAAAAATAGGCACATAGATCAATGGAACAGAATAGAGAACTCAGAAACAAACCCAAATACTTACAGCCAACTGATCTTCAACAAAGCAAACAAAAACATAAAGTGGGGGAAGGACACTCTATTCAACAAATGGTGCTGGTATAATTGGCTAGCCACATGTAGGAGAATGAAACTGGATCCTCATCTCTCACCTTATACAAAAATCAACTCAAGATGGATTAAGAACTTTAACATAAGACCTGAAACTATAAAAATTCTAGAAGATAACATTGGAAAAACTTCTAGACATTGGCTTAGGCAAGGATTTCATGGTCAAGAACCCAAAAGCAAATGCAATAAAAACAAATAGCTGGGACCTAATTAAACTAAAGAGCTTTTGCATGGCAAAAGGAACAGTCAGCAGAGTAAACAGGCAACCCACCAAATGGGAGAAAATCTTCACAATCTATACATCTTACAAAGGACTAACAACTAGAATCTACAACAAATTCAAATCAGTAAGAAAAAAACAATCCCATCAAATAGTGGGCTAAGAACATGAATAGACAATTCTCAAAAGAAGATATACAAATGGCCAACAAACATATAAAAAAATACTCAGCATCACTAACAATCAGTGAAATGCAAATCAAAACCACAATGTGATACCACCTTACTCCTGCAAGAATGGCCATAATCAAAAAAATCAAAAAACAGTAGATGTTGGCGTGGATGCGGTGATCAGGGAACACTTCTACACTGCTGGTGGGAATGTAGACTGGTACAGCCACTATGGAAAACAGTATATATATATATATATATATATATATATATATACATACACACACACATATATATATACACACATATATATACACACACACATATATACACACACACACACACACACACACATATATATATATATGTGATGGAATGCTATGCAGTCATAAAAAGGAATGGATTAACAGCATTTTCAGGGACCTAGATGAGACTGGAGACTTATTCTAACTGAAGTAACTCAGGAATGGAAAACCAAACATCGTATGTTCTCACTGATATGTGGGAGCTAAGCTATGAGGACCCAAAGGCATAAGAATGATACAATGGACTTTGGGGACTTGGGGGTAAGAGTGGGAGGGGGGCAAGAGATAAAATCTACAAATATGGGGTAGTGTATACTGCTTGGCTGATACGTGCACCAAAATCTCACAAATCACCACTAAAGAACTTACTCATGTAATCAAATACCACCTGTAATCCAATAACTTGTGGAAAAATATAAATAATAATAAATAAATAAATAAATTCCATTGTCACAGCTGTGTTATTTTAGACCTTAACTGCTCTTTGGTCTCCCAAAATTTCATGTGAAGATGCAACTCCTTCTAAAAAGAGATACTTCTTAAACTATTAGCCACTTACACGAGGAATTTTTAGACATTCATTGGTAGTCACCTTCAAAAGTGCTATGATTTTGATTTTCTCTGGACAGTACTAGTGTATACCTATTGTCCTGGCGTGGTTATTAATAGTAGTCCATTTACTCTCAACTTGTCCCAGTTTGGATGATGAATTATAAGTTTCCTTTAGCCACAACATTTGCCATCACGTTATACATTTGGGTTTTCCAAGCCCAACACTCCCAAGGCTGATTAGTTCTTTCTAGGCATTATGCCTACAATTCAGAAGGCTCCCACTAAGTGGACAGTACTGCCTGAATGTGGCTTTATGAGCAAACTTTTAGACAAGCAGCAGTTGATGGATAATACTTAGAACACAGATAACACTTGTGGTATAATATTTGTTAAATTGAAAAGTTTCAATACTAGCTAATCATGCATTACTAACAGTTTTATAAGTTTAAAGGCTACAGTGAAGAATGCATTTTTTTAAAAAAAACTGCATACATATATTAAATGTCAGCACCTATAACACACTACCTCAGTTATTTGTTTACATGAGTGACTCTGTCTGCTAGACTTTAGTCCCTCCGTAGCAAGTCACACGTTCAACATAAAAGCAGCAGAGTAACATTTTGAAAAGTCACTCAATAGGCTTTCCCTTCTCAGTCATTTGTATTGCCAGCCCAGACCAGAGTTTCTCCACCTCGGTATTCTTGACATTGTGAGGGGCTCTCCTGTGCATTGTAGGATCTTGAGCAGCATCCCTGGCCCCTAAGCACAAGATGCCAATAGCACCATCCCTGGTTATGACAATAAATATGTCTCCAGATGTAGCCAAATGTTCCTTGGAGGAAAAAAATCAACCACTATTGAGTAGTTAGAACTGAAGGAGGAGACAAGACAGGTGGGCCTTAGAGTGGCCTCACAGGGGTTTGCACACCCTTCTCTTGTAGGATGTAGAGAAAGCAGAAGAGGGTTCCTAAGCCAACCAGTGAGAGAAGAGGAGATTAATGAGCTAAAGTACAGGGACCTCCTCACTAGAGGAGGGCCTAGCAACATCTATGGTCCTCAGAAGCAAGTGAATACACAGTGGCCAAAGACCAGGTAGTCTGACATAATGACAATTATAGTAATTGCTGAAAAAATCACCACATGGATGTGAAGGCTCAGAACAAAGTTAAGCTCTGTAATGTAAAAAACAAAAAAGAAAGAAAGAAAAGAAAGACAGTTACATTTTTGTGCTGCTTTGTGACTATTCCATTCCTATTGCTCCATATTCTTAGAAATTTCAAGAAAGTGATGAGTGGTTTCCTTAGTATTCATTCACTTAGAATTCAGAACCTCCAAAGTACTTGCCCTGCATCTTTTTTGTACAGAGGAATAACTGTTTTCAGCTCCATGTGAGTCTTCTCCGCTTTCACCCTGTTTCAGATGAATAAAGAAACATGTCCACCACATCACAATTCTATATGTTTACTTAGGCTGGATGCTCCAGAATGTCTATAGATGATGCCCTGTGATTTTGCTTTCCTGTTGGGATATTTTTTTCTCCACCACTTTCCTCTCCTGCCTAATTTCCCTGCTCTTTGGAGCACATGGCTGTGTAAAAGTTAATTTGCCTTTCATTGCTCAAAACTGTCTCTTACAAATCCTAGAGATTTAATCAGCTTTAGAACCTGATTTCCACTACCAACTTCTTACAGAAGCCATGCCTTTCTTCACCAAAGCTCCAAACCACTTACAGAAGCTATGCTCTTTCTTTTTCTTCACTTTCTTTATACAGTGAACTACAAATGCATGCTTCAATATGCACAGAATATTGACAGCCAGATAGGAACTTTGTAATATCCCTTTGGGAGCTTGGAGTTGAGCTGAACAACCTTTCTACCTGCCAGGCCAAATAAATTTCCACAATGCTGTCTTGTAAGACAGAGGATCTGTGGAGAACGAGTTGTGCTGGAGTAAGGGAAGGAGAAGAAAAAAACAAGGGGGAGTTTAATTATGGAGAAAACTCAAACACTGCAAATTGATCATTAAGAGGATCATTAAGATAGCATTACTGATCTCTTCAGTTATCTGAATTCACTTAACCACATCAACCTCTTTGTCTTTGCTTAAGGTGTACCCCGTGCCTGTAATGACTTCCTTCTCCTTTCTACCTAATAAATCCTTAAGGCCCAGCTCAAGCTTTAGTTCTTCTAGGAAGCCTACCTTTCCTCCTTTAGCCTCAAGGATCTCTCCCTTCTCTGAACTTCTACAACACTTACTGTTACTTAGCACTTAGCATAGATTGACCTGTAATATATCCTGTACTTCTGTCTTTGTTAGTTATTTAATTTTTCATGGAAGCTCCTTAAGAAAAATAATGATGTACAGTGATTTTCCGTATTCTTCATAGCAGGCACACAACAAACAATTTATAATAAGGAATTACTGAATTACTGAACAAGGGCCTTGGCATAGGAGCAGAATATCAGGTGGCCATGTTCCCTTAGAAAGGTATGTTTTTGTACCCTTAACAGAGATTTTGTCCACGGTAGGGTCTTATTAAAGTCAGCCTAATTTCTAAAAGTTTTCTCTAAGAGAGGCCTGGCTTCGAGCTGCCTTCAGGCTCTGAGACCTTGTCCCTTTATATAATAACAGCAAATACTGATGGAGAATATGTGCTAGGCACCATTATAAGTGCTTTATGTCAATTACATCATTTTAATCTTCTAAACCTTATGAGGCTGGTTATATGCTCATTTTACAGAGTGGGAAACTAAAGCACAATAAAGTTAAGTAATTTTTTCAAGGCCACACAGTAAGTAGGAGAACTTCAATAAAAACCCATGAGGTCTGACCCCAGGGTGTGCTCTTTTTGTCACTTTGTAGCACTTCTGCCCTTAGTTAGAAACACATAGATAATATCTACAAATAATTATAATCAGACTTTAAATGACAGTATGCAAAGGGTATAGATTTAAAAAAAAGGTTGGCACAAACAAATAACTTTGTCATAGACACAAAGTCAGTACCATATAGGTGAGTATGCACATGATGCTGCCTGCCACCTCTGGGCAAACCATTTTAACACTAAGGAAAGTCAGCACTATCACCAGCTTCCAAGGAAGAGGGTTTTCAACAGGAAAATTACTTCAAGGTGGGAAGGAGAAACAGACTTAAGTGACTAATGAGCTGCAAAAGAAATTAACAGGAAGATGTTTTTAGAGTTCAAAAAAGTGAAATGTCTTTAAGAATATTTCTAATTTCAAAAGAATATAAATTTTTGTCCCCTCAGTGTGTTTAATTTCTCTATACTTAGATCCTGTCGACACATGTACAGGCAGGCCAGTTTTAGCTGATGGTCCATAACAGGTAACTCAAATTAATATCATTATTGTATTGATTATTTATTGTTGTGTAATAAACCACCTCAAAACTTAGTGGTACAAAATAATCATTTTATAATTCTTACAAATATTAGGGATAAAGAATTTGCTCTGGACTCAGCTGAGTGCTTCTTCTGCTGGACTCTCCTGGGTCAACCATATGACTATATTTATCCAATACCTCAGCTGGGGCTGAGTGATCTAAGATGGCCTCATTCATATGTGTGGCACTTGGTGCTCTCTGTTAGCTGAGCCTCTCTCTTAGGGTGGTTTCTCATCCTCAAGGGGACCAGCCTGGTCTTTTTTCATATGTGTCCCAAGAATTCCCAGGAGCAAAAGAGGACAACTCCTATGCACAAGGGCTTTTTAAGCTTCTATTTGTATCACATGTACTAACATTCCAATGGCCAAAGCAAGTCACTTGGCCAAGTGTCAGTGTGGAAAGGAACCATAAAAAGGCACAGATACTGGGAGGCATGATTCACTAGGGACAATTACCTTAACAATCTACCAGAGCTGTTATTCAGAATTTAGCCAGTCACATCCAGCGGGCTGGCACAATTGTCTGCTTATTTTTCCATGTTGTTTGGGTTCTTCATGAAAACTATTCAAATGTCTTCCAAAAACAATGCCTGGAGGAAATTTCAAGAGAGAGAAAGCCCTGAGTCTCTCATCAGGTGTATCCTTGGCCTGCTTCTGCCACCAAATGCCAACAAAAGTGAAAGAAACCCTTAAAAGCATATTGCTAAATGAAAGGAGCCAATTTGAGAAGGCTGCATACTGTATGGTTCCAACTACGTGACATTCTGGAAAAGGCAAATCTATAGAGACAGATAAAAGATCAAGGACAGAAGAGTCAGTGGTCACTGTGTGATGGTCACCTCAGTGTTGTGCTGCCTGCAGTGCTGCAGAGACAGTGGGACCAGCCACATCCTTCTGAAGGTTATGCCAGTCATGCAGCAGGACATATGACACATGGGAACAGATGTTGTCATTGTAAAAAATGACAGAAGAATATATGGAACATGAGATTGTTTAGCCAGTGCACTTTTACATCAAAACAAAAGCTACTATGACTTCAAGATCCACTTCACAGGAATCTGGGACACTGGTGTTGCTTCACAGGAATCTGGGATACTGGTGTTGCTCAGAAAGCTAACTTGAATCAGAGAGGGGGAGAAAAAAATGGCAGATAGGAGGCAGGACTAAACCGCAGCTCCCATTCAGATGGACAGAGCAGCATGTGGAAACTCACATCACAAACTTTTGCTTCAAGAGCAACTGCAGGAAAGCTGGGAGAATCCGCAGACCCCTTGAAGGGAGGAGATTGCTCCTGCAGGACCTGGGAGACAGCCAAAATACTGTGAGTGCCCAAGGTGTGAAAGCGGGAAACAGGGATCGTCCTCCCCCGATCACACACCCTCACTGAGGAACCTTAAGGTCCAGATCACAGGAGAAGGATTTAACCTTACCTGGAGCTGAGATAATTTAGACAGCTGAGTGAAATACAGGAGTAGAGGAAGCAGGGAGAAGAGTCCTCTGGGCTCTCTCAGTCCCCAGAGAAGCCATGTCTGACTTTGTTTCACATGAGTCCCTGGGGAGGGCTCCAGACAAACTGGAAAAACACAAGGAGAAGGAAACCTCCAGCTGAACTTTGCAACAATTCTAACCAAATGCAAAGTTTCTTAGATAGAACGCGGGGGAGATGGGTGAATCCAGAGTGCAGACAGGCAGGCAAGGAGGTGCAAAACCTGAAAGCCCTGCCTGATTTCTCAGCCCAGAGGCTGGTAGCCTGGGGCAAGTTCTCAGCCCTGCTCACTCAGAGCCTGGAAACAAACTCAGTGCTGTTGAGGTGGGACACAGTGGGAGTGAGACTGGCTCTTTGAGTTGCACAAAAGCTGAGTGAGGTTAGTAACTGCCAGCTTTCTTCCACTTCCCTGGTGACCTGCATGACACAGCAGAGGCAGCCATAATCCTCCTGGGAACATAACTCCATCGACCTGGGAACCATACCCCATCCCCTACAGCAGCCGCAACAAGTCCCACCCAAGGAGAATCTGAACTCAGGCATGCCTAACCCTGCCCCCCCACGATGGTCTTTCTCTACCCACCCTGGTAGCTGAAGACAAAGGTCATATTCTCTTAGGAGTTCTAGGGCCCTGCCCACTGCCTGATCCTCCCTATACTACCACAGCTGATGCTCTCCTGAAAGTGCTACCTCCTGGCAGGAGGCCAACCAGCACAAAACTAGTGCAATAAGCAACAATAGTACAACTAAGGACCCTCACAGAGTCCCTTTCACTCCTCTGCCACCTCGACCAGAGCAGGTGCATCTATTCATGGCTGAGAGACTGGAAGATGGTTCACATCACAAGACTCTGTGCTGTGACAGACAATCCCCAGTACCAGCCCGGAACATGGTACCCACACTGGGTGGCTAGACCCAGAAAAGAAATAACAATAGCTAGAATTCAGTGCTTAAGAAGCCACATCCCTAGGAAAAGGGGGAGAGAATCTGAACAGCAGCCTTGAGCTCCAGATCTTCCCTCTAACATAGGCCACCCAAATGAGAAGGAACCAGAAAAACAATTCTGGTAATATGACAAAGCAAGTTTCTTTATCACACTCAAAAAATCACACTAGCTCACCAGCAATGGATCCAAACCAAGAAGAAATCCCTGATTTGCCAGAAAAAGAATTCAAAAGATTGATTATTAAGCTAATCAGGAAGCACCAGAGAAAAGTGAAGTCCAATTTAATGAAATCAAAAAACTGATACAAGATATGAGGGGAGAAATCTTAAATGAAATAGATAGCATAAATAAAAACAATCACAATTTCTGGAAAGCAAGGGCACACTTATAGAAATGCAAAATGCACTGGAAAGTCTCAGCAACAGAATCAAACAAGCAGAAGAAAGAACTTCAGAGCTCAAACAAAGACAAAGAAAAAGGAATTTAAAAAGCAATGAACAAAGCCTCCAAGAAGTTTGGGATATGTTAAATGACCAAATCTAAGAATAATTGGCATTCCTGAGAAAGAAGAGAAATCTAAAAGTTGGGGAAACATATTTGGGGGGAATAATAGAGGAAAACTTCCACAGCCTTGCTAGAGATCTAGACATCCAAATACAAGAAGCTCAAATAACCCCTGGGAAATTCATCACAAAAAGATCATCACCCAGGCACATAGTCATCAGGTTATCTAAAGTCAAGATGGAAGAAAGAATATTAAGAGCTGTGAGGCAAAAGCACAAGGTAACCTATAAAGGAAAACCCATAAGATTAACAGCAGATTTCTCAGCAGAAACCCTGCAAGCTAGAAGGGATTGGAGCCCTATCTTCAGCCTCCTTAGACAAAACAATTATCAGCCAAGAATTTTGCATCCAGTAAAACTAAACTTCATAAATGAAGGAAAAATACAGTCTGTTTTAGACAAACAAATGGTGAGAGAATACACCACTACCAAGCCAGCACTACAAGAACTGGTAAAAGGAGCACTACATTTTGAAACAGATTCTCAAAATACACATCAAAACAGAACCTCCTTAAGGCATAAATCTCACAGGACCTATAAAATAACAACACAATAAACTTTGAAAAAAAACAGGTATTCAGGCAACAAATAACATGATGAATAGAATAGTACCTCACATCTCAATAGTAACACTGAATGTAAATGGCTTAAATGCTCCACTTAAAAGATACAGGATAGCAGAATAGATAAGAATCCACAAACCAAGTATCTGCTGCTTTCAAGAGACTCACTTAACACATAAGGAATCACATAAACTTAAGGTAAAGGGGTAGAAAAAGACATTCCACACAAATGGACACCAAAAGCCAGCAGGAGTAGCTATTCTCATATCACACAAAACAAACTTTAAAGCAACAGCAGTTAAAAAAGACAAAGAGCGTTATTATATAATGATAAAAGGCCTTGTCCAACAGGAAACTATCACAGTCCTACATATACCTGCACCTAACACTGGACCTCCCAAATTTATAAAATAATTACTACTACACCAAAGAAATGAGAGAGACAACAACACAGTAATAGTGGGAGACTTCAATACTCCACTGACAGCACTAGACAGATCATCAAGACAGAAAGTCAACAATGAAACAATAGATTTAAACTACACCCTAGAATAAATGGACTAAACAGATATGTACCAAACATTCTACCAAAAAACACAAAATATACTCTATTCATCACTGCATGGAATATTCTCCAAAACAGACCATGTAAGGGGCCACAAAACAAGTCTCAATGAATTTAGGAAAACTGAAATTATATCATGTACCCTCTCTGACCACAATGGAATAAAATTGGAAATTAACTCCAAAAGGAACCCTCAAGACCATTAAAATACATGGAAATTGAATAATCTGCCCCTGAGTGATCATTGGGTCAACAATGAAATCAATATGGAAACTAAAAATTTTTTTGAACTGAATAATAGTGACACAACCTATCAAAATCTACAAAATACAGCAAAGGTGGTGCTAAGAGGAAAGTTCATAACCTTAAAGGTCTGCATCAAAATGTCTGAAAGAGCACAAATACACAATCTAAGGTCACACCTCAAGGAACTAGAGAAACAAGAACCAACCAAATCCAAACCCAGCAGAAGAAAAGGAATAGCCTAGATCAGAGAAGAACTAAATGAAATTGAAACAAAAAAATACAAAGGATAAGTGAAACAAAAAGCTGGTTCTTTGACAAGAAAAATAATAATAGACCATTAGCAAGATTAACCAAGAAAAGAAGAGAGAAGAACCAAATAAGCTCAATTAGAAGCAAAATGGGAGATACTACAACTGACACCACAGAAATACAAAACACCATGCAAGACTACTATGAACAACTTTATGCACATAAACTATAAAACCTAGAGGAGATGGATAAATTTCTGGAAATATACAATCCTCCTAGCTTAAACCAGAAATAATTAGAAACTCTGAGCAGACCAATAGCAAGCAGTGAGATTGAAATGATAATAAAAAAAATCACCAACAAAAAAAGTCCAGGACCAGATGGATTCACAGCTGAATTCTATCAGACATTCAAAGAAGAATTGGTACTAATCCTATTGACACTATTCCACAAGATAGAGAAAGAATCCTCCCTAAATTATTCTATGAAGCCAGCATCCCTCTAACACCAAAACCAGGAAAAGACATAACAAAAAAAGAAAACCACAGACCAATATTGCTGATGAATATAGATGCAAAAATCCTTAACAAAATAATACCTAACCGAATCCAACAGTATATCAAAAAGATAATCCACCATGATCAAATGGGTTTCATACCGGGGATGCAGGGATGGATTCACATACACAAGTAAATAAATGTGATACACCACATGAACAGAATTTTCTAAACTCACGTGATCATCTCAATAGAAGCAGAAAATGCATTTGACAAAATCCAGCATCGCTTTAAGATTAAAACACTCAGCAAAATCGGCATAGAAGGGAAATACCTTAATGTAATAAAAGTCATCTATGACAAACCCGGAGGCAACATCACACTGAATGAGGAAAAGTTGAAAGCATTCCCTCTGAGAAGTGAAATGAGGAGGATGCTCACTCTCACCACTTCTATTCAACATAGTTCTGGAAGTCCTAGCCAGAGCAATCAGACAAGAGAAAGAAATAAAGGGCATCCAAATTTGTAAAACGGAAGTCAAACTGTTGCTCTTTGCTGATGATATGTTTTTATACCCAGAAAACCCTAAAGACTCCTCCAAAAAGCTCCTAGAACTGATAAATGATTTCAGCAAAGTTTCAGGATACAAAATTACTGTACACACATCAGTAGCTCTGCTATACACCAATGGCAACCGACCTGAGAATGAAATCAAGAACTCAACCCCTTTTACAATAGCTGCAAAAAAATAAAATACTTAGGAATATACCTAACAAAGGAGTCAAAAGACCTCTACAAGGAAAACTACAAAACACTGCTGAAAGAAATCACAGACAACACAAATGGAAATACATTCCATGCTCATGAATGGGTAGAATCAATATTGTGAAAATGACCATACTGACCATACTGACAAAAGCAATCTACAAATTCAGTGCAATCCCCATCAAAATGCCACCATCATTCTTCACAGAATTAGAAAAAACTATTCTAAAATTCATATGGAAACAAAAAAAGAGCCCACATAGCCAAAGCAAGACTAAGCAAAAAGAACAAATCTGGAGGCATCACACTACCTGATTTCAAACTATAATAAAAAGCCATAGTCACCAAAACAGCTTGTTACTGGTATAAAAATAGGCACATAGACCAACGGAACAGAATAGAGAACCCAGCAATAAACCCAAATACTTACAGACAACAGATCTTCCACAAAGCAAACAAAAACATAAAGTGGGGAAAGGACACTCTATTCAACAAATGGTGCTGGGATAATTGACAAGCCACATGTAGAAGAATAAAACTGGATCCTCATCTCTCACCTTATACAAAAATCAACTCAAAATGGATTAAGGACTTAAATCTAAGACCTGAAACCATAAAAACTGTAGAAGATAACATTGGACAAACCCTTCTAAACACTGGCTTATGCAAAGACTTCATGACCAAGAACCCAAAAGCAAATGCAACAAAAACAATGATAAATAGGTAGGACTTAATTAAACTAAAAAGCAACAATCAGCAAAGTAAACAGACAACCCAGCGAGGGGGAGAAAATCTTCACAATCTACACATTCAACAAAGGACTAATATCCAGAATCTACAAGGAACTCAAACAAATTAGCAAGAAGGAAACAAACAAATCTCATCAAAAAATGGATATGAATAGACATTTCTCAAAAGGTACACAAATGGCCAAAAACCATATGAAAAAAATGCTCAACATCACTAATGATGAGGGAAATGCAAATCCAAACCACAATGCTATACCACCTTACTCCTGCAAGAATAGCCATAATCAAAAAATAATAGATGTTGGCAGGGATGCAGTGAAAAGGGAACACTTTTACACTGCTGGTGGTAATGTAAACTACTACAGCCACTGTGGAAAACAGTGTGGAGATTTCTTAAAGAACTAAAAGTAGAACTACCATTTGATCCAGCAATCCCACTACTGGGTATCTATCAAGAGAAAGGAAGTCATTACACAAAAAAAGATACTTGCACACACATGTTTATAGCAGCACAATTTGCAATTGCAAAAATATGGAACCAGCCCAAATGCCCATCAATCAATGAGTGGATAAAGAAATTGTTGCTTATATATACCATGGAATACTATTCAGTGATTAAAAAAAAAAAAGGAATGAAATAATGGCATTCGCAGCAACCTAAATAGAACTGGAGACCATTATTCTAAGTGAAGTAACTCAGGAATGGAAAACTAGACATTGTATGTTGTCACTTATAAGTGGGAGCTAATATATGAGAATACAAAGGCATAAGAATGATGTAATGGACTTTGGGGACTCAGGGTAAAGAGTCAGAGGTGGGTGGGCGATAAAAGACTACAAATTGGGTACAGTCTATACTGCTCGGGTGATGGGTGCATCAAAATCTCACAAATCACCACTACAGAACTTATGAATGTAACCAAACACCACCTGTTCCAAGAACCTATGGAAATAAAAAAATACAATAAAAATTGTAAAAAAATAATAATAATAAAGTAAATTTGAATCAGAGACCTCTTGGCCAAGACGTACACAGTCTGGTGATGGGAAATAAGGAGCCCTGTACCACAATAATAAAGAGAAAAATAGGCTGCTAGCAAACAGCCTTCCACAGAAGGGACATGCGGGGGTATTACATATGACCATGTAGAATATACACTTGAATGGAAAAATATGCATTGTCTAACATCAAGTATCAAGGGACACCGGATCCAGTTAGTTATGTTGATAAGAATGTAACTGGATTTTCAGTTCAGTGAATTTTATCATACTCTTCCACCAGGTTTTGAAAAAAATATATTATTTGAACAGCAGACCTTCTGAATATTTTTGCTTTTAAAACTTGTATTTCTCCACTGTTAAAAATGTTTACCATTTAATAAAGCTTTACCTGACCTATAGATGAAAGTATATTCTTAAAAATATGCTTGTTGGCCAGGCATGGTGGCTTGCACCTGTAATCCCAGTATTTTGGGGAGGCTGAGGCAGGCAATTGCTTGGGGCCAGATGTTCAAGACCAGCCAGGGAAACATAGCAAGCCCCTATCTCTACAAAAAAAAAAATTAAGAAAAAAATGTTTTTTAATGTTGTCTAACGAATCAGAGTCTTCAATAGACCACAGTGAAGTTGGGATTTAAAATATTTATGTTTAGTGATATGAATGTTAGCACTTGGGGAAGTTTGTTTAATGTTTATTTAAATAAATACAATTATGGAGCCAGGTGGAGCAAGATGGCAGGAGAGAAGGCTTCACCAACCATCCCCCCAAAAGGACACCAATTTAACAACTACCTACACACGCACAGAGCACCTTCATAAGAACCAAAAATCAAGTGAGTACTCATAGTATCTGGTTTTAGCTTCCTATCATTGAAAGAGGTGCTGAAGTGTAGAAAACACAGTGTTGAATCACAAAAGCCATTCCTTTCCCACCACTCACCCCCAGCAGTGGCGGCAGGGTGCAGAGAGCTTTTCAGTGTGCTGGGGAAGGGAGAGCCCAGTGATTGTGGAACATTGAACACAGTGCTGTCCTCTTGTAGCAGAAAGAAAAGCTGGACCAAATTCAGCTGACACTGACCCATGGAGGGCATTTAAACCAGCCCTAGCCAGAGACAAAACGCCAATCACAGCAGTTCAAACTTGAGTTCTACAAGCCTTGCCACTGAGGGCTACAGTTCTCTGAGGCTCTAAATAAACTCGAAAGGCAGTGTAGGCTGCAAGAACTGCAACCCCTACATGAGTCCCAGTACTGAATGGAGGCCAGAGACAGTGAACTAGGGGGCAGGTGACCTACTGAGATACAAGCCAGAGTAGCTAAGAGAGTGTTGGCATCACCCCTCTCCTAACCACAGGCTGCACAGATCACAGCTCCAAAAGAGACCCCTTCTTTCCACCTGAGGAGAGGGGAGGGAAGAGTGAGGAGGACTTTGTCTTGCATCTTGGATACCAGCTCAGCCACAGCAGGATAGGGCACTGGCCAGAGTACTGAGGCCCCATTTGCAGACCCTAGCTCCTGAATGACAATACTAGACACACCCTGGGCCAGAAGGAACCTGCTACCTTGAAGGGAAGGACCCAGCCCCACCAGCATTCATCACCTGCTAATTGAAGAGACCTTGGGCCATGAATAACCAGAAGTGATACCCTGTACTACATCGAGGGTCCTGGATGAGCCTCTGAGAATTGCTGGTTTCAGGTGAGACTAGCACATTATCAGCTGTGGTGGCTATGGGACAGAACCCCTACTTGAGAAAAGCAGAGGGAAAAGTAAAAGGGACTTTATTTTGCACCTCGGGTACCAGCATGACCACAAGAGGTAGAGCACCAAGTGGGCTCCTGAGTCCCCAGTTCCATGATTTGAGTCTTGGACTGCATTTCTGGACTTGCCCTGGGACAGAGGAGGGCTCACTGACCTAAAGGGTGAGTCCCAGGCCAGGCAGCATTCACCACAAGCTGACTGAAGAGTACTTGGGCCTTAAGGGAATATTAGCGGTAGTCTGGCAGTACTCCCCATGGGCCTGTGGTGTCACTGGCCATGAGGTGAGGACCCTTTGTCTTTGGAAAGGGGAAGGAAGAGTGAGGAAAACTGTGTCTAGTGGTTTGAGTGCCAGCTCAGTCACAGTACAACAGAACATCAGGTAGACCTCTAAGATTTTTAAATCTAGTTCCTGGCTCCTGGATGACACCTCTGCACCTGCCTGGAACCTCATGGACCTCACTGCCCTGAAGGAAAAAACACATGCCTGCCTGGTGTTGTCAACTGCTGACTGTAGAGCTCCAGGCTTGAGCAAACATAGGTAGTAGCCAGGGAGTGGTTACACCAGGCCTTGGTCAAGAACCAATGCTATGCTAGCTCCAGGGCTGATCCAGTGCAGTCATAGTGGTGGTGGACATAGGAGTCCTTGTGTCACTCCACCCCCAGCTTCAGGTGGCTCAAAACAGAGAGAAAGAGACTCCATTTGTTTGAGAGAAAGTAAGGGAAGAGGACAAGAGTCTCTGCCCAATAATCCAGAGGATTCTCATAGATTTTGTCCAAGACCATCAAGGTGGTACCTCTACAAGTCTCCAAGAATCACGGTGTTACTGGATGTGGAGTGTCCCCTAAAATAGATACAGGTTAGATCACAACACCCAAGTCCTTAAAAATATCTGGAAGGCCAGACCGGGCGCAGTGGCTCACACCTGTAATCCCAGCACTTTGGGAGGCCGAGGCAGGTGGATCACCTGAGGTTGGGAGTTCGAGACCAGCCTGACCAACAGGGAGAAACCCCATCTCTACTAAAAATACAAAATTAGCCAGGTGTGGTGGCGCATGCCTGTAATGCCAGCTACTCAGGAGGCTGAGGCAGGAGACTTGCCAGAACCCAGGAGGTGGAGGCTGCAGTGAGCCAAGATCGCACCACCATTTCACTCCAGCCTGGGCAACAACAGTGAAATCCCATCTCAAAAAAATAAATAAATAAATTTTAAAAAATTTTATATATATATATATATATATATATATATATATATATATATATATGTATATGGAAAGCCTTCCCAAGAAGGATGGGTACAAACAAGCCCAGACTGTAAAGACTACAATAAATACCTAACTCTTCAATGCCCAGACCAGATGAACATCTGTAAGTATGAAGAAAATCGAGGAAACAGTGACTTCATCAAATGAAGGAATAAGGCACCAGGGAGAAACAGAGTCCTGGAGAAACAGAGATATGTGACCTTTTAGAGAAATAATCCAAAATAGCTGTTTCAGGAAACTCAAAGAAAGTCAAGGCAACACAGAGAAGGAATTCAGAATTCTGTCAGATAAATTTAGCAAAGATATTGAAATAATAAAAAAAGAATCAAGCAGAAATTCTGAAGCTGAAAAATACAGTAGACATACTGAAGAACGCATCATAGTCCTTTATTAGAAGAACTGATCAAGCATAAGAAAGAATTAGTGAGCTCAAAGAGAAGCTATTTGAAAACACACAGTCACTGGAGACAGAAGAAAAAAAGAATAAGCACAACTACAGGATCTAAAAAATAGCCTCAAAGGGGCTAATCTAAGAGTTATTGGCCTTAAAGAGGAGGCGGAAAAAGCAATAGGGGTAAAAAGCTTACTAAAAGGGATAATAACAGAGAACTTTCCAAACCTACAGAAAGATATCTATATCCAAGTCCAAGAAGGTTATAGAACACCAAACAGATTTAACCCAAAGAAGACTACATCAAGGCATTTAATAATCAAATTCCCAAAGATCAAGGATAAAGAAAGGAGCCTAAAATCAAAAGAAAAGAAACAAATAACATACAATGAAGCTCCAATATGTCTGGCTGCAGACTTTTCAGTGGAAACCTTACAGGCCAGGAGAGAGTGGCATGACATATTTCAAGCACTGAAGAAAAAAAAGTTTACCTAGAATAATATCCAGCAAAAACAGCCTTCAAACATGAAGGAGAAATAAAGATTTTCCCAAACAAAAGCTGAGAGATTTCATCAATAACAGACCTATCACGCAAAATATGCTAAAGGGAGTACTTCAATCACAAAGAAAAGGATGTTAATGAGCAATAAGTGTCACCTGAAGTTACAAAAATCACAGATAATAGTACACAGAAAAACACAGAGTGTTATAGCACTGTAACTATGCAGTATAAACTACTCTTATCCTCAGTAGAAAGACTAAATGATGAGCCAATCAAAAATATTAACTACAACAACTTTTCAAGAAAAAGTACAATAAGATATAAATAGAAATAACAAAAGTTTAAAAGGGGACAAAGGTTAAAGTGGAGAGTTTTTATTAGTATTCCTTCTACTTGTTTGTTTGTTTATGCAAACAGTTTTAAATTGTTATCAGCTTAAAATAATGAGTTATAAGACAGTATTTACAAGCCTCGTGGTAACTGCAAACAAAAACAAAAACAAAAAAAAATACAACAGACACACAAAAAAAAGAAAAAGCAAGAAACTAAATCCTATCACCAGAGAAAAAACATCTTCAAAAAAGAAGAAAGAAAGAAAAGAAAGAAGAAAGAAAAACACACAAAACAACAAGAAAACACAAAAGAAAACTGCAGGAGTAAGTCCTTACTTATCAATAGTTACATTGAATGTAAATGGACCAAACTCTCCAATAAAAAGACATAGACTGGCTGAATGGATTTAAAACAAAGAAAAGGACCCATTGACCTGTTCCCTACAAGAAACACACTTCACCTACAGAGATACACATAGACTGAAAATAAAGGGATGAAAAAAGATATTCCATGCCAATGGAAACCAAAAAAGAGCAGGAGTAGCTATACTTATATAAAACAAAATAGATGTAAAGACAAAAACTATAAGAAGAGACAAAGACACTATATAATGATAAAGAAGTCAATTCAGCAAGAGGATGTAACAATTTTAAATATATATGCACCCAACATTGGAGCACCCAGATATATAAAACAAACATTACTAGAAATAAAGAGAGATAAACCCTAAAATAATATTAGCTAGAGAATTGAATACCCCATTTTCAACACTGAACAGCTCTTCCAGACAGAAAATCAATAAAGAAACATCAGATTTAAACTGCATTACAGACCAATGGATCTAATAGGTATTTACAGAACATTTCATCCAATGGCTGCAGAATACACATTCTTTTCCTCAGCATATGGATCATTCTCAAAGATCAACCATATGTTAGGTCACAAAACAAGTCTTAAAACATTCAAAAAATTGAAATAATGTCAAGTGTCTTCTGTAATCACAATTTAGAAAACTAGAAATCAATAACAAGAGGAAATCTGGAAACTATACAAATACGTGGAAACTAAACAATATACTCCTGAATGACCAGTGGGTTGATAAAGAAATTAAGAAGATAAATGAAAAACTTCTTGAAACGAATGATAACAGAAACACAACATAACGAAAGCTGTGGGATACAGCAAAAGAAGTAAAGAGGAAAGTTTATAGATATAAGTGCTTACATCAAAAAAGAAGAAAAATTAAACAATCTAATGATGTGTCCTAAAGAACTAGAAAAGCAAAAGCAAACCAAACCCAAAATTAGTAGGAGAAAAGAAATAATAAAGATCAGAGCAGAAATAAAGAAAATTGAAATGAAGAAAACAATACAAACAATCATAAGTTAAACATAGTTGACAAATCTTTAGCCAGACTAAGAAAAAAAGAGAGAAGACTCAAATAAATAAAATCAGAAATGAAAAAGTAGCCATTACAACTGATGCTGCAGAAATTCAAAGGATCATTTGTGATTACTATGAGCACCTGTATGCCAATAAATTTGAAAATCTAGAAGAAATGGACAAATTCCTAGACACATACAACCTATGAATATTGAGCCAGGAAGAAATCCAAACCCTGAACAGACCAATAGCAAGTAATGAGATTGAAGCCATAATAAAAGGTCTCCCAGTAAAAAAATTCCAGGATGTGATGATGTCACTGCTGATTTCTACCAAACATCTAAAGAACTAATAACAACCCTCCTCAAACTATTCCAAAAAATAGGGCAGGAGGGAATACTTCCAAACTCATTCTATGAGATGAGTATTGCCCTGATACCAAAACCAAACAAAGACACATTAAAAAAAAAAAAAAAAAAAAGAAAAAAACTATAGGCCAACATCTCTGATGAATATTGATGCAAAAATCCTCAATAAAATACTAGCAAACCAAATTCAACACACATTAAAAAAATCATTCATCATGACAAAGTGGGATTTACCCGTGGAATACAAGAATGTTTCAACATAGGCAAATCAATTACTGTGATACATCTTATTAACAGAATGAAGAAGATAAACCATATGATCATTGCCATTGATGCTGAAAAAAAGTATTTGATAAAACTCAACATCCTTCAAGATAAAAACCTTCAAAAAACTGTGGATAAAACGAGCATATGCCAACATAATAAAAGCCCATGACAGACCCACAGCTAGTATCATAATGAATGGGGAAAAAACTGAAAACCTTTCCTCTAAGATCTGAAACACAACAAGGATGCCCATTTTCACCACTGTTACTCAACATAGTACTGGAATTCCTCACTAGAGCAATCAGACAAGAGAAATAAAGGGCATCCCAGTTGGAAAGGAAGAAATCAAATTATCTTTGTTTGTAGAATATATGATCTGATATTTGGAAAAACCTAAAGACTCCACCAAAAATCTTTTAGAACCGAAAAACAAATTCAGTATAGTGACAAGAAACAAAAACAACATACAGAAATCAGTAGCATTTCTATATGCCAATAGTGAACAATATTAAAAAAAAGTAATCTCATTTACAATAGCCACAAATAAAACTAAATACCTAGGAATTAACCAAAGAAGTGAAAGATCTCTATAATAAAAACTGTAAAACACTGATGAAAGATATAGAAGAGGTCACAAAAAAAGAAAAGATATTTTATGTTCATGGATTGGAAGAATCAATATTGTTAAGATATCCATGCCACAAAAGCAATCTACAAATACAATGTAATCCCTATCAAAATACCTATGACATTCTTCACAGAAATATAAGAAACAATCCTATAATTTATATAGAACCACAAAAGATCCAGAATAGCCAAAGCTATCCTAAGCTAAAATAAAAAAACTGGAGAAGTCACATTACCTGACTTTAAATTATACTACAGAGCCATAGTCATCAAAATGGCATAGGGCTGACATAAAAACAGACACATAGACCAGTGGAACAGAATAGAAAACCCAGAACAAAATCCGCACATTTACAGTGGACTCATTTTTGACAAAGCTTTCAAGAACACACGCTGAAGAAAAGACAGCTCTTCAATAAATGGTGCTAGAAAAACTGGACATCCATATGCAGAAGAATGAAACTAGACCACTATCTCTCACCATATATAAAAATCAAATCAACGTGAATTAAAGATTAAAATCTAAAACCTCAATCTATGAAACTACTACAAGAAAACATTGGGGAAACTCTCCAGGACATTGGTCTGGGCAAGGACTTTTTGAGTGATGTCCCACATGCACAGGCAACCAAAGCAAACATGAACAAATAGGATCACATCAAGTTAAAAAGCTTTTGTCCAGCAAAGAAAACAATCAACAAAGTGAAGAGACATCCCAAAGAGTGGAAGAAAATATTTACAAACTGCCTGGCTGGCAAAGCATGAATAACCAGAATATACGAGGAGCTCAAACAACTCTACAGGAAAAAACTGAATAATCTGATCAAAAGTTGGGCAAAAGATTTGAATAGACATTTCTCAAAAGAAGACTTACCAATGGCAAACAGACATGGGAAAAGCTGTTCAACATCACTGATCATCAGAAAAAATGCAAATTAAAATTACAATGAGATATCATTTCACCCCTGTTAAAATGGCTTATGTCCAGCTTCCTCAAATAACTAAAAATACAGCAACCATATGACCAGTCATCCCACTGCTGGGCATATACCTCGATATGGTTTGGCTGTGTCTCCACCTATATCTCATCTCGAATTCCCGTGTGTTGTGGGAGGGACCCAGTGAAGGTAATTGAATCTTGGGGGCAAGTCTTTCCCATGCTGTTCTTGTGATAGTGAATAAGTCTCATGAGATCTGATGGTTTTCTAAAGAGGAGTTCCTTTGCACAAGCTCTCTCTTTGCCTGCTACCATCCATGTAAGAAATGACTTGCTCCTCCTTCCCTTCTGCCATGATTGCGGGGTCTCCTCAGCCACGTGGAACTGTAAGTCCATTAAACCTCTCTTTCTTTTATAAATTGCCCAGTCTTGAGTATGTCTCTATCAGCAGCATGGAAACAGACTAATACCTACCTGAAAGAAAGAAAATCAGTATATTGAAGAGATATCTGCACTCCTACATTAGTTGCAGCACTGTTGCCAATAGCCAAGATTTGGAAACAACCTAAGTGTCCATCAAAAGATGAATCAATAAAGAAAATGTGGTACATATACACAATGGAGTACTATTCAGCCATAAAAAAATGAGATCCTGTCATGTGCAACAACATGCATGAAACTGGAGATCATTATGTTAAGTAAAATAAGCCAGGCACAGAAAGACAAATATTGGATGTTCTCATTTATCTGTGGAATGTAAAAAGCAAAAGAATTGAACTCATGGAGATAGAGAGTACAAGGAAAGTTTGCAAAGGCTGGGAAGCATAGTGGGGGTCTGGGGAAAGAGGTGACGATGGTTAATGAGCACAAAAAATAGACAAAATGAATAAGACGTAGTATTTGATAGCACAACAGGGTGACTATAGTCTATAATAATTTAATTGTACATTTTAAAACAACTGAAAGAATATAATTGGATTCTTTGTAACACTAAAAATAAATGCTTGAGGGAATGGATACCCCATTCTCCACAATGTGATTATTAGGCATTGCATGCCTATATCAAAACATCTCAAAGATGGCCAAAAAGGAAGAGCTCTAGTCTGCAGCTCCCAGTGAGATCAATGCAGAAAGCCGGTGATTTCTGGATTTCCAACTGAGGTACCCAGCTCAGCTCATTGGGATTGGTTAGTCAGTGGGTGCAGCCCATGGAGGGTGAGTCAAAGCAGGGTGGGTTGTTGACTCACCTGGGAAGAACAGGGGGTCAGGGAACTCTCTCCCCTAGCCAAGGGAAGCCGTGAGGGAGTGCCACATGAGGAACAGTGCACTCTGGCCCAGATTCTACATTTTTCCCATGGTCTTCACAAACCACAGACCAGGAGATTCCCTCAGGTGCCTATGCCACCAGGGCCCTGGGTTTCAAGCACAAAACTGGGTGGCTGTTTGGGAAGACACTGAGCTAGCTGCAGGAGGTTTTTTTCATACCCCAGTGGAGCCTGGAATGTCAGAGAGACAGAACCATTCACTCCCCGAAAAAGGGGCTGAAGCCAGGGAGCCAAGTGTTCTAGCTCAGTGGATCCCACCCCCAGAGAGCCCAGCAAGCTAAGATCCACTGGCTTAAAATTCTCACTGACAGCGCAGCAGCCTGAAGTTGACCTGGGATGTTTGAGCTTGTCGGGGGTAGGAGCATCCACCATTACTGAGGCTTAAGTAGGCGGTCTTCCCCTCGCAGTGTAAACAAAGCCCCAGGGAAGTTCCAACTGGGAGGAGCCCTCTGCAGCTCAGCAAAGCCTAGGTAGCCAGACTGCCTCTCTAGATTCCTCCTCTCTGGGCAGGGCATCTCTGAAAGGCAGCAGTCCCAGTTAGGGGCTTATAGATAAAACTCCCATCTCCCTGGGACAGAGCACCCGGTGGAAGGGGCGACTGTGGGTGCAGCTTCAGCAGACTTAAATGCCCTGCCTATTGGCTCTGAAGAGAGCAGCAGATCTCTCAGCACAGTGTTCAAGCTCTGCTAAGGGTCACACTGCCTTCTCAAGTGGGTTCCTGACCCCCATGTCTACTGACTGGGAGACAGCTCCCAGCAGGGGCCAATGGACACCTCATACAGGAGAGCTCTGGCTGGCATCTGGTGGGTGCCCCCCTGGAACAAAGCTTCCAGATGAAGGAACAGGAAAAGGCAGCAATCTTTCCTGTTCTGCAGCCTCCGCTGGTGATAGCCAGGCAAAGAGGGTCTGGAGTGGACCTCCAGCAAACGCCAGTAGACCTGCAGAAGATGGGCCTGATGAGTAGAAGGAAAACTAACAAACAGAAAGGGATAGCATCAACATCAACAAAAAGGACATCCACTCAGAAACCCCATCTGAAGGTCACCAACACCAAAGACGAAGGGTAGATAAATCCACGAAGATAGGGAGAAACCAGCACAAAGAGGTTGAAAATTTCAAAAACCAGAATGCCTCCTCTCCTCCAAAAGATCACAAAACCTCATCAGCAAGGGAACAAAACAGGATGAAGAATGAGTTTGACGAATTGACAGACTTAAGCTTCAGAAGGTGAGAAATAACAAACTCCTCCGAGCTCAAGGAGAATGTTCTAACTCAATACAAAGAAGCCAAGAACCTTGAAAAAAAGGTTAGACAAATTGCTGACTAGAATAACCAGCTTCGAGAAAAAAATAAAAGACCTGATGGAGCTGAAAAACACAGCATGAGAACTTTGTGAAGCATACACAAGTATCAAGAGCTGAATCAATCAAGCAGAAAAAAGGATATCAGATGTTGAAGATCAGCTTGATGAAATAAGGCATGAAGACAAGATTAGAGAAAAAAAAAGCCTCCAAGAAATATGGGACTAAGTGAAAAGACCAAATCTACATTTGATCAATGTACCTGAAACTGATGGGGAGAATGGAACCAAGCTGGAAAACACTCTGCAGGATATTATCCAGGAGGACTTCCCCAACCTAGCAAGACAGGCCAACATTCAAATTCAGGAAATACAGAGAACACCACAAAGATACCCCTCGAAAAGAGCAATGCCAAGAAACATAATTGTCAGATTCACCAAGATTGAAATGAAGGAAAAAATGTTAAAGGCAGCCAGAGGAAAGGTTGGGTACCCACAAAGGGAAGCCCATCAGACTAACAGCAGATCTCTCTGCAGAAACCCTACAAGCCAGAAGAGAGTAGGGGCCAATATTCAACAGTCTTAAAGAAAAGAATTTTCAACCCAGAATTTCATACCCAGGCAAACTAAGTTTCATAAGTGAAGGAGAAATAAAAACCTTTACAGACAAGCAAATGCTGAGAGATTTAGTCATGCACCAGGCCTGCCTTACAAGAGCTCCTGAAGGAAGCACTAAACATGGAAAGGAACAACCAGTACTGGCCACAGCAGAAACATGCCAAATTGTGAAGATCATCGGCACTATGAAGAAACCGCATCAACTAACAGGCAAAATAATCAGCTACATCATAACGACAGGATCAAATACACACATAACAATATTAACCTTAAATGTAAATGAGCTAAATGCACCAATTAAAAGACACAGAATGGCAAATTGGATAAAGAGCCAAGACCAATCAGTATGCTGTATTCAGGAGACTCATCTCACATGCAAAGATACACACGGGCTCAAAATAAAGGGATGGAGGAATATTTGCCAAGCAAATGGGAAGAAGAAAAACTGAGGGATTGCAATCCTAGTCTCTGATGAAAAAAGACTTTAAACCAACAAAGATCAAAAGAGACAAAGAAGGGCATTACATAATGGTAAAGGGATCAATGCAACAAGAAGAGCTAACTATCTTTAATATATATGCACCCAATACAGGAGCACCCAGATTCATAAAGCAAATTCTTAGAGACCTACAAAGAGACAGACTCCCACACAATAATAGTGGGAGACTTTAACACCCAACTATCAATATTAGACAGATCAACAAGAGAAAATTAACAAAAGTATTCAGGAAATGAACTCAGCTCTAGACCAAGCAGACCTAATAGACATCTACAGAACTCTCCACCACAAACCAACAGAATATACATTCTTCTCAGCACCACATTGCACTTATTCTAAAATTGACCACATAATTGGAAGTAAAATACTCATGAGCAAACACAAAATAACAGAAATCATAACAAACAGTCTCTCAGACAACAGTGCAATCAAACTAGAACTCAGGATTTTAAAACTCTCTCAAAACCGCCCAACTACATGGAAACTGAACAACCTCCTCCTGAATGACTACTGGGTAAATAACAAAATTAAGGCAAAAATAAATACATCCTTTGAAACCAATGAAAACAAAAACACAACATACCAGAATCTCTGGGACACAGCTAAAGCAGGGTTTAGAGGGAAATTTATAGCACTAAATGCCCACAAGAGAAAGCAGGAAAGATCTAAAATCGACACCCTAACATCACAATTAAAAGAACTAGAGAAGCAAGAGCAAAAAAATTCAAAAGCTAACAGAAGACAAGAAACAACTAAGATCAGAGCATAACTGAAGGACATAGAGACATGAAAAAAACCCTTCAAAAAATCAATGAATCCAGGAGCTGGTTTTTTGAAAAGATCAACAAAATAGATAGACTGCTAGTCAGACTAACAAAGAATAAAAGAAAGAAGAATCAAATAAACACAATAAAAAGTGATAAAGGTGATATCACCATTGGTCCCACAGAAATACAAACTACCATCAGAGAATACTATAAACACCTCTACGCAAATAAACTAGAAAACTCAGAAGAAATGGATAAATTCCTGGACACATACATCCTCCCAAGTCTAAACCAGGAAGAAATCGAATCCCTGAATAGAACAATAACAAGTTCTGAAATTGAGGCAATAATTAATAGCCTACAAACTAAAAAAAGTTCAGGACCAGATGGATTCACAGCCGAAATCTACCAGAGATACAAGGAGGAGCTGGTACCACTCCTTCTGAAACTATTCCAAGCAATAGAAATAGAGAATCTCCTCCCTAACGCATTTTATGAGGACAGCATCATCCTGATACCAAGACCTGGCAAAGACACAACAAAAAAAGAAAATTTCAGGCCAATATCCCTGATGAACATCAATGAGAAAATCCTCTATAAAATACTGGCAAACCGAATCCAGAGGCACATGAAAAAGCTTATCCACCACGATCAAGTCAGCTTCATACCTGGGATGCAAGGCTGGTTCGACATACACAAATCAATAAATGTAATCAATCACATAAACAGAACCAATCACAAAAATCACATGATTATCTCAATAGATGCAGAAAAAGCCTTCGATAAAATTCAACACCTCTTCATGCTAAAAACTCTCAATAAACTGGGTATAGATGAAACGTATCTCAAAATAATAAGAGCTATTTATGACAAACCCACAGCCAACATCATACTGAATGGGCAAAAACTGAATGCATTCCCTTTGAAAACCAGCACAAGACAAGAATGCCCTCTCTCTCCACTCCTATTAAACATAGTATTGTAAGTTCTGGCCAGGGCAATCAAGCAAAAGAAAGAAATAAAGGGCATTCAAATAGGAATAGAGAAAGTCAAATTGTCTCTGTTTGCAGATGACATGATTGTATATGTAGAATACCCCATCGTCTCCACCCAAAATCTCCCTAAGCTGATAAGCAACTTCAGCAAAGTCTCAGGATAAAAAATCAATGTGCAAAAATCACAAATATTCCTATACACCAATAACATACAAACCGAGAGCAAAAGCATGAGTGAACTCCCATTCACAATTGCTACTAAGAGAATAAAATACCTAGGAATACAAATTACAAGGGATGTGAAGAACCTCTTCAAGGAGAACTACAAACCACTGCTCAAGGAAATAAGAGAGGACACAAAAAAATGGAAAAAAACTCCATGCTCATGTATAGGAAGAATGAATATGGTGAATATGGCCATACTGCCCAAAGTAATTTATAGATTCAATGCCATCCCCATCAAGCTACCATTGACTTTCTTCACAGAATTGGAAAAAATACTTTAAACTTTATATGGAACCAAAAAAGAGCCCACATAGCCAAGACAATCCTGGGCAAGAAGAACAAAGCTGGACGCATCACGCTGCCTGACTTCAAACTATACTACAAGACTCCAGTAACCAAAACAGCACAATACTGGTACCAGATCAGATGTATTGACCAATGGAATAGAATGGAGGCCTAAGAAATAACTCTACACATCTACAACCATCTGATCTTTTACAAACCTAACACAAACAAACAATGGGGAAAAGATTCCCTATTTAATAAATGTTGGGAAAACTGGCTAGCCATATGCAGAAAACTAAAACTGGACCCCTTCCTTACACCTTATACAAAAATCAACTCAAGATGGATCAAAGACTTAAATGTAAGACCTAGGACCATAAAAATTCCAGAAGAAAACCGGGGCAATACAATTCAGGACATAGTCATGGGCAAAGACTTCATGTCTAAAACACCAAAAGCAATGGCAACTAAAGCCAGAATTGACAAATGGGATCTAATTAAACTAAAGAGCTTCTACACAGCAAAAGAAATTATCATCAGAGTGAACAGGCAAGCTACAGAATGGGAGAAAAAATTTTGCAATCTATCCATCTGACAAAGGTCTAATATCCAGAATCTACAAAGAACTTAAACTAATTTACAAGAAAAAAACAACCCCATCAAAAAGTGTGCAAAGGTTATGAACGGACACTTATGTAGCCAACAGACATATGAGAAAATGCGCATCACTGCTCATTAGAGAAATACAAATCAAAACCACAATGAGATACCATCTCATGCCACTTAGAATGGCGATCATTAAAAAGTCAGTAAACAACAGATGCTGGAGAGGATGTGGAGAAATAGGAACACTTTTACACTGTTGGTGGGAGTGTAAATTAGTTCATCCATTGTGGAAGACAGTGTGGCGATTCCTCAAGGATCTAGAACTAGAAATACCATTTGACCTAGCAATCCCATTACTGGGTACATACCCAAAGGATTATAAACCATTCTACTATAAAGACACAAGCACATGTATGTTTATTGCGGCACTATTCACAATAGCAAAGACTTGGAACCCACCCAAATGTCCATCAATAATAGACTGGATAAAGAAAATGTGGCACATATACACCATGGAATACTATGCAGCCATAAAAAATGATGAGTTCATGTCCTTTGTAGGGACATTGATGAAGATGGAAACTATCATTCTCAGCAAACTATCACAAGAGCAGAAAACCAAACACCACATGTTCTCACCCATAACTGGGAGTTGAACAACGAGAACACATGGACACCTGGAGGGGAACATCACACACCGGGGCCTGTTGTGGGGTGGGGGGCTAGGGGAGGGATAGCACTAGGAGAAATACCTAAAGTAGATGATGGGTTGATGGGTGCAGGAAACCATCATGCATGTGTATATCTATGTAACAAAACTGCACGTTCTGCACACGTACCCCAGAACTTAAAGTATAATAAAAATAAATAAATAAATAAATAAATAAGGGAAGTGATAGCCAATGGCTATAGGTTTCATTTTGGGGTGATACAATCTTTTTGGAATTAAATAGTCATAATAGTTGTACAACTCTGAGTATACTAAAACTCACTAAACTTTACACATAAAAAAAAGAGTGATCCCAACAAACATCTCTGGAATAGAAGAACCACCCAGCCAACCCACAATATGAGAAATAGTAGATTGTTGGTTCTAGCCAATAAGTTTTGTTTTACTGTGCAACAATAGATAACTGAAACAGGAAGTTTTCTTTCAGGAACAAAAAACCTAATGAAAAACTGAGCTTTTGATAGCACTTGTAAAATAATAATGCGGAAACTGAGTATGGAATCATGTTTTGGAATCTTTTCTGTGTGAAACTAGCTTGTCTGTACAGAGACAAAAGCAAGATAATGGCCTCATTTGCAAGCAACAGAGATTGGAAGTCCCTTATTTTTAATAATAACTTCTCACATTCATGTAAGATTTGCAGATAACAAGGTGCTTTCCCATAAACTCCAACGCTAAGGGTGAAATCTTGGAGGTCACAGTAAGAATTTGGGAGTTTACGTAATATAAGGCCATAACTTATTCCTGGGCAAGAATAATAAGATAAAAATCATATTTGAGAAAAAAATTTCTAGCATTCCTAAATAGGATCATTTGGAGCAAAGAATCTTGAAATTGGTGAAACAAACCAAATTGTGAAGCAGGTGGAGAATGCCAAGGCAAATAATGATAAGAATCTGAGTGACATAGTTGGAAAACTATTATAAGATTTATCATCTAATTAGATATGGTGAAAGAGAAGAGTGGCTCTGTCTTTATTTCCTCTTGCAGCTATAACAAATTACCACAAACTTGGTGGCTTAAAACAACACAGTGTGTTCTCTTACAGTTCTATAGGTAAAAAGTCTGACACAGGTCTTCCTGGGCTAAAATCAAGGTGTCAGCAGGGCTGCATTCATTTCTGGAGGCTCAAGGGGAGAATCCATTTCCCTGGCTTTTCCAGCTTCCAGAAGCCATCTGCTTTCCTTGGCTCATGGCCTTCCTTCTTCAAAGTCAGTAGCCTTGCATGTCTCCATGCCTTTCTTCTGTAGTCACAACTCCCTCAGACTCTGACTCCTCTTCTGCCTCACCTTTCCACTTTTAAAGGCCCTTGTGATTACATTAGGTCAAACTAGATAATCCAAGATAATACTTCTAATTTAAGTGAGTTGATTAGCAACCTTAATCTCATCTGCAACTTTAATACCTCTTTGCTGTGTACCCTAACATTCGTGGGTTTTGGAGATTAGGATGTGGACATCTATGGGGGTAGGGAACACTATTATGTCTACCACAAGTTTTCAAGGGTTAGAATTCAGGAGCTCAAGTATTGCCACTGAGGATGATGGAGAAAATGAGAGGAATCCATTTGGATAGGAAGAGAAGGTTTTGCCAAGTTAAGTGGAGTGTCCAAATGGTAATGGTCCCAGAGCTGTCTTGAGGGTCTGGATCTCAGGTGACACATCATGATTAAGGACATGGGTTTAATGAGTTTTACACCTGCAGCTGAAGTCTGAAAGCCTTTAAGCTACTTGATCCTTTAGAGGCAGACATTTAGGAAGAGAATAACACAAGGATGAAGAGTTGAAGAAGGAGCCTGACACAGTGGCTCACACCTGTGACCCCAGCACTTTGGGAGGCCAAGGTGGGCATATCACTTGAGGTCAGGAGTTTGAGACCAGCCTGGCCAACATGGTGAAACCCTGTCTCTACTAAAAATACAAAAATCAGCCAGGCATGGTGGCACACACCTGTAGTCCCAGCTACTTGGGAGGCTGAGGCACGAGAATCGCTTGAACCTGGGAGGTGGAGGTTGCAATGAGCCTGTGCCACAGCACACCAGCCTGGGTGGGTGACAGAGTGAGACTCTGTCTCCAAAAAAATTAACAAAAACAAAAAAAAGATCTGAAGAAGGAATTGTTCTCATCACCTCTTATCTAGGCTCAACATGGGGCAAACACTCATTCTTACAGAACTGAAAGAAATCAAAAAAAGTCCTAGAGGGGCCTGAAGATGGTGCAACAAAATTGCAAATGGGACCATTTAGCTGCTCCCTTCAACCACATCTGTCACCCAGATGTTCCATCTAACCACAGCACATGCCCACACCAAAAAGCCGGCATTATATGCTCCACAAGGTCTGTGGCCAGTGTAAAAGTGTGGAGGAACCCATCCACATGGCAAAGCAAGTTTGTTATTTGTGTTACATCAAAGCCAGGGCCTCAATGAATTACTGCCCTCTGAGGTCATTTAATTATGATTAAGTGAACTAAGAACCAGTGTAAATGGCATTTATACTCCAGTGAATTAAGGTATGAGATATAGCCAAAGTGAATAAGATTTATGGCCCAAACTCATGCAACCTTACAGTAATTTCATGACACTTTTACTATGAGGCAAGCGATGCCAGTTCTTGAAATAATTAAAAGTACATACCAGCTCCAAGGCTGGGCTTCAGGCATTTATGGGACGCCATGAGACAGAATAAGGAGCAGGTTTCTTTGTGACTAATTTACTCTAGAAAGCAGCAGCTGTTTCTTTTACCTGCAGCAAACATCTCAATTAGAGTAGGAAGATTGACTCTGAGCAAGCCATACTGACCCCAGGAGGTCAGACCACACTGCACATCTTGAGGAGCCAGTTCCTCCCCAAATAAGTCAGTCCGTCACCCAAAGGAGAAATGCTTCATAGACAAGTAGTTTTTCAAATCCCTAGGCTCATATACCACTGCCCTCTGCAGATCCCTTTATGCCCTTGAGGAGATTACCTTAGTCTGGGTTGCCATCCATGGAAGGCAAGGAATCACTGTCCACAGATCCCAAGGGAATTGGCAAAGTGGAAAATGGGTCAGCCAGAATGTGCCCCATTTACCTTGGGCATCTTCTTCTCCATTGTCAGCCATCCATTGCTTTCTGGTACTTCTTCAGGGTAACGCACCAGTTGGTATCCTCCTGGCTTCTGATTTGGCACTCTACCTAAGGGATTCTGATCTCTTCTCTCCCATTCACTGAGTTGGGTCTCATGAGCAGATCCCAGAGTCAACCAGGCAAGGGAAGAATTCCATTGTTTTTAGCTTTTCAGATTTCCAAATTAGGAACCTTCAAATTTGAGGATGCATCTTTGCCTTCACAATCAGTTGTATTCAAATATAGGACAAGCTCTTCTCTCCTTACAGCTCCTGACACTCATAATAGTGCCTCATTATATTAGGTGAAAGGAAAACAAGGGGATGGGGAAAGTGTTATTAACCTATAATCATTGAAAAAACAATATATTTTTATTTATCAAACGATTTAAAGAACTTGGCATTTTTTTTTTTTTTTTGAGACAGAGTCTCACTCTGCCACCCAGGCTGGAGTGCAGTGGCACGATCTCAGCTCACTGCAACCTCTGCCTCCTGGGTTCAAGCGATTCTTGTGTCTCAGCCTCCCAAGTAGCTGGGACTACAGGCACAAGCCACCACGCCCAGCTAATTTTTGTATTTTTAGTAGAGTTTCGCCATGTTTGCCAGGCTGGTCTCGAACTCCTAACCTCAGGTGATTCATCCACCTCAGCCTCCCACAAGTGCTGGGATTACAGGCATGAGCCACTGTGCCCGACCAGAACTTGGCTATTTAAATCCTCTTCTAACTAATCTCTGTAACTTCAATCTTGCCCCATTCTAACCCAATCTCCTTCTGCAAACAGAATAATTTTTTCAAATGACAAATCAGTTCAAATAATTTTCTACCCAAAACCTTTCAGTGGATCCTCATTTCCTACTGGATAAAGTGCATACTATTTTGTATGGCCAACAACAGAGCTTCCCAACCAACGTGCCCTAAATGGATTACAGGTGTACCCAGATATTGATCCCTTCAGCCCTGGGGGAGAGGCCTGGGGTAGCTGAGCTCCAAAGACTTTTGCCTTAGGAAGAGCAGTGTTTTAACTTATGAAAAAGGTTGGAAAGAGTCCTTTCACAAATTTGGTGCCCCAATCCCTAATCTCCTACTTAGCTCCTAAATACACCCCCCCAACACACACACACACACACACACACACGTGCACGCATGCACATGCATGTGCATTCACATTCTTTTTTTAGAGACAGAGCTTCACTCTGTCACCCAGGCTGGAGTGCAGTGGCACGACCATAGCTCACCATAACCTTGAATTTCTGGGTTCAAGCAATCTTCCCACCTCAGCCTCTCAAGTAGCTAGGACTACAGGCATGAGCCACTGCACCTGGCCACATTCATTTTCTTAATACAGGAATGTATAGATGCTTCCCAGTGGTTCTTGAACATTATAATGCATCAGAATCACCAAGGGAGCAAATTAAAATGCAGATTCACAGGCCCTACTACAGAGATTAATATGTCTGGGAATCTGCATTTTTAAGAAGCAGGCTGTTCAACTCTGATGCAAATGGTTTGTGGACCACATTTGGAAAATTACCGTCACTCTACAGCTACATGGGACCATATCATAATTCTACAAATATATCTGCTACTTCCTTTGTTTTCACCCATGTTGTTCCCTGTGCTTGGGATGCCTGTCCTTTTTCTTTTCCAGTCCTGTGCTTATAACTCATTTCCTCTGGAAAGCTTTCCCTGGCTCCCAAGGCCATGTTAGTTGTCCCCCTATTTTTTCACAGGCCCCATACTTCTTTTGCAGCACTTAAATGATTATCTGCCTGCAAGTCCCATGGGGGCAAAAATCATGTTAATCTTATTTACCATTTTATCCCTAACACACTAGAATATAACCTAGTTCAGGATAGACATTCAGTAAACATTGAAATTAATGTCTTGTCTTGAATGCAGGTCAAGAAAACCTAACTTCAGCTGACCATTTTAGATCTAGGTGTGATAACTTCTGTCAGTCTCAAGTTAGAGCAAGCCACCAATCTCCTAGAATTAGTAAGCTGAGAGCCCAATTCTTCCCTATTTCCTAGTTTATATGATCATTCCCTGTGCTTTGTAACAAAACTGCTGATGTTGCTTTCAAAAGTTTCACCTTCACCTTCTTTGAAAGAATAGCACCCCGTATCACTTCCAAGGCCCCAGAGGTACACCAAAAGACCTGCTTTGTCATTCCTGACACAGTTTTCCATTCACCAGCCTCTTGACAATGGCTTTCATTGCCCAGTATCCCTCAGAAATATTTTTCTTTCTTTCTGGCTTTCTTTCTGAATGGTTTTCTCCTACACCAACTAGGGATAACCTTTTACTGTCACCTAAACCAGAGAGTTGTGAGGCTTTCCTTGGGCCCTTTCACACTCTCTACTAGCAGGGGTACAGGCTTAAGGGCAGCATGGGGTTTGCCTAGGACATTCACAATTTTAACACTGAAAGTCCCCTATACCAGGAAAACCCTCAGTCCTGGGCAAACTGAAATGGTTGGTCAATCTAAGTTTGCCTTTACAAGAGTAACTGGTTCTCTTACCCCTCAGAAAAGAAAATGTGAGCTACTCATCCATGGAGCCAATAGTGGAACCTCCAGTAGAGATTCCCCAAAACTGCACTTGACCACCATTTCCACAGTTATTGATGCTACTCCATCTTGACTGTTTCTGGGATGTGCTGCTTTTATGTCTACATTCTCTCTCTCTCTCTCTCACACACACACACACACACACACACACACACACACACACACACACACCAAGAGACTTCCCTATCTCTCATAAGCACATAATTTATACAATAAGAAGCAATGTTTGACTTACCTGCCCTGGACCTGTTCTCACTGCTCCAAACCCAGGTTTCATTACCCACATGACTTCTGGGCAGATTTTTTTTCTTGCAGTTTTTTAAAATTGAGATAAAAATTTCCATTTTAAGGCAGTTTCAGTGGCTTAGTTTAGTTTTTGTTTACAGTATAGTCACAGTTTTGTGTACTTATCACTACTCCCTAGTTCTATAACATTTCCATCACCTCAAAAAGGAGCCTAGTACCTGGGCAGAGATCCTTGAGGTCCACCTCCACTATTGAATAAATCTGTTCTTCATAAGTGATAATGAGAATAAAAACAATATATCCTATATTTCCAATTTGTTATATAATAAATGGAATGGTATATACCAATCCGGCATGTCTGGTCCCCTTTACAACCAAAAGCATCACACTTGCTGATAGAATAACAAATATAAAAATTCTGTACATTGAAATACATTATATAAATAACAATAACTGCTTCCATTTATAGGCTGCCTTACAGCTTAGAAGATATTTTCACATACTCCCTCTCATTTGATAATACACATACGACTCTGAGACTCCTGCAAGGTCTCACAGCAGGTCAGGAACAGACCCAGACCAGGACCTCTGACTTGATTCCTAGTTGGGTGCTCTTCCCCAACTCTATACTGCCTCTGTAGCTAGGTTAATTGTTGTCCCAGCAAGTGTTTATGGAGTCAATCTTCATTCTGATGTAAAGCTGAGTGGCCTGTGATATGACTCTAATGCCTAAACTTAGTTTTATTTGCCTGCTCAAATTCCAACCTGGCAAATAGGCAACTGAGGATGGCATCAAAGAGGGAGTTGTGACCAAAGCTGAAGGCCTGACTTGGCATCCCCACCCTGAAGAGAGGATGAATATACATCCAGAATAGACATCACTGGAAGAGCTCCAGCCTCCCTCAACCATGCACTTCTCCTCTTTATAGGTCACCCAGACTAAAATAAACTCATTTGGATGTCCCCTTGATCCTGGGATTTCCTTATTCTCTCCTATAGGTGCTAATAGGAGAAGCCAGAAAACCACATGGTAGTAATGACATTGATCCCTCACATCTGCACCAGGCTTTATGGTTTCACATATATTATGGCTACTTAATTCTCTCAACAATCCTTTGAGGTAGACTAGCATTATCTTCATTTAACAGAAAAGGAAATTGAGTCACAGAGGGATGATCAGAGGGATAACTTTTGTCCCATAGTTAGTAGGTGAAAGAACTGAGAGTCAAAGACAGGAGCTTAATGAAGCTACACATTATATATTTGGCTCCTAACGGTCAAGAATTGACTAGAGGACTAGTCTCCTGGGACACTGCCTTAGTTTGTTTGTGTGCTATTACTGAATGCCATAGATTGGGTGATTTTTTTTTAGACAGAGTCTCACTCTTTCACCCAGGCTGGAGTGCAGTGGCGCGATCTAGGCTCACTGTCACTTCCACCTCCTGGATTCAAGCGATTCTCCTCCCTCAGCCTCCCAAGTAGCTGGGATTATAAGTGCTCACTACCACACCCGGCTAATTTTTGTATTTTTAGTAGAGATGAGTTTTCACCATGTTGGCCAGGCTGGTCTCGAACTCCTGACCTAAAGTTATCCACCTGCCTCAGCCTCCCAAAGTGCTGGGATTAAGGGTGTGAGCCACCGCATCCTGCTGGGTAATTTTTAATAAACAGAAATTTACTGGCTCACAATTCTGGAGGCTTGTAAATCCAAGGTCAAAGAGGCCCGCATCTAGTGAGGACCTTCTTACTTCATCATCCCATGGTGGAAGAGCAAAGAGAAGGTAAGAGAGAGCAAAAGTAGAAGGGGCCAAACCCACTCTTGTGATAACAAACCCACTCCCTCAATAATAGCACTAGTCCACTCGCGAAGGTAGATCCCTCATGTCCCAAACACTTCCAAAAGTTCCCACTTTCTAACACCTTAACAATGGCAATTAAACCCTAACATTAGTTCTGGAGGAGATGAACATTCAAACCATAGCAGACATTCTTATGTTTAGCTATAGGTATTCCCAGGCATGAAGTTATATCTCTTTAAGCTCCCCGCCCCCAATTCTAAGACACCCAGTGTCTTGATATTGCCTACCTAATCACCACCTCTATACCCCAAATCAGACCTTTCCCAACAGGTTTTTCGTGGACATAATTGGATAACTAAAGTAATAAAATTACTGAATACATTCTAAGCAGCAATTTAGCCTCCCACTCCACCTTTGGGTATGCCTTTCATTCCACCTGGGATCTTGACAACCGTAGTTCTAAATTTCTGCTTGTTTATAAAGGGCCAGGGAGCCTCCCTAAGTTCCAAAGTTGTTACAAAAAGAGGCAGTCAGACTTGAAACCAATAACTGGTTCTGTTGTTTAGTTTATGACCAGAGGCCTGGCTCAAGCTCTGGCTCTTGGCTGGCCTCTGTGAACAGAAAGAAGGAAACTCGTTTTTCATTCTCTGTTTCCAAAGTCCAACCTAACTGTCTGCACGCAAATTCCATCATGGAGTTAGGCACTTCAGACAGCAGCAGGTGGAAAGTGTTTGATTTCTGATGAGAATTCCTGGGCCCAAATCCCAAGCCCCTCCTTCCCTTCTCACAGCAGCTCACAGGTCCCTGCTCTCCTATTGCCCCATCATCTCCTAAGCAAAGGAAACAGAATCCCAACTCAGCCTGGCCCCAGCAGTGTCTCCCTTAAAAGTGCTGACTGCTTACTTGACTTAGCAACCAGGACCTCACAGGAACTGATTATTGGCTTAGCTATGTAGGCAATGGCAAATGCCCTGAACTGGAAATGAGCAGCCCAAGACTCTAGGTCCACTTCTACCTCAAGTCACTTCTTTTGAGGCCTGAGTTTTACCACCTAGAAAGCAAAGATAATGACATCCTAGCGTGCCTCCATAGAGTTTTGCATAGAAAATGAAAAATCCTATCCTAAAACAAGTGACAGGATGTATGGAATAAAAGTGTTTAGCCCACAATGCCCCAGCCCCAGCCCCAGGGCACAGTCAGTCCCTGGTTTAAAGATTAGGGTGCTATAAGGAAGTAAGATGGAGTGGTTTAAGACATGAATTTTCTTCCCAGACCCCATCCACCACTCTATTCCCTGAGTCTGAAGATTATCTAAACTGAGGCTGATGGACATGACATGTGAAGAATGTCTGTCGAAGGTGCTCCCCCAGCAGACAAGAGAAAGGTCTGGGCATAAGTCCATGTGTGTATGAGCAAGCACTAGAGTAACGGGACTAGGGATTCCGAGAGCAAAACGGCTAATATGCCCAATGCCTGTAAATCACATTCATGTAAAAAACACAGCAGTGGCCACCTTCACCTAGCCCTCTTTTATATCTGTTATTAATTCACTCCTCCAACAAGACCAGTCTTTGTTGGGGCTTCTGCAAGGAGAAGATTGCTTCTTTTCATTTTAATCCTAGCTTAGTTCAGCCAGGCATGGATGAAGCTAGCCAAAGAGCCAGCGGGTAAGCTCCAGCGTCCAGGAGCTCATACCTGTAATGGGAGGAAAAAAGATACCCATTGACTTGAAGAAGTGACTCTCAGTTTAAGACAGGTTTAATTTGAGGCATCTAAGGGACATCTAGGTGGATGTTCCACCTGTCAATAAGACACATGGATCTGAGGCTTAAGAAAAAGGTCAGGTCTGAAGATAGACATTTGAGAGTCATCTAAAAAGAGATCATTGTGTTTTTTGCTTTGTTTTGTTTTGTCTTACTTTACAATTTTTTAATTACACTTTAAGTTCTGGGATACGTGTGCAGAACGTGCAGGTTTGTTACATAGTTATACACGTGCCATGGTGGTTTGCTGCACCCATCAACCTGTCATCTACATTAGGTATTTCTCCTAATGCTATCCATCCCCTAGCCCCCCACCCCACAACAGGCCCCAGTGTGTGATGTTCCCCTCCCTGTGTCCATGTGTTCTCATTGTTCAACTCCCACTTATGAGTGAGAACATGCAGTTTTTGGTTTTCTGTGCCAGTGTTAGTTTGCTGAGAATGATGGTTTCCGGCTTTATCCATGTCCCTACAAAGGACATGAACTCATCCTTTTTTATGGCTGCATAGTATTCCATGGTGTATATGAGCCACATTTTCTTTCTCTAATCTATCATTGATGGGCATTTGGGTTGGTTCCAAGTCTTGCTATTGTGAACAGTGCTGCAATAAACATATGTGTACAAGTGTCTTTATAGTAGAACGATTTATAATCCTTTGGGTATATACCCAGTAATGGGATTGCTGGATCAAATGGTATTTCTGGTTCTAGATCCTTGAGGAATTGCCACACTGTCTTCCACAATGATTGAACTAATTTATACTCCCACCAACAGTGTAAAAGAGTTCCTATTTCTCCACATCCTCTCCAGCATCTGTTGTTTCCTGACTTTTTAATGATCGCCATTCTAAGTGACATGAGATGGTATCTCATTGTGGTTTTGATTTGCATTTCTCTAATAAACAGTGATGATGAGCTTTTTTTCATATATTTGTTGGCCACATAAATGTCTTCTTTTGAGAAGTGTCTGTTCATATCCTTCACCCACTTTTTGATGGGGTTGTTTTTTTTTTCTTGTAAATATATTTAAGTTCCTTGTAGATTCTTGATATTAGCCCTTTGTCAGATGGATAGATTGCAAAAATTTTCTCCCATTCTATAGGTTGCTTGTTCACTCTGATGATAGTTTCTTTTGCTGTGCAGAAGCTCTTTAGTTTAATTAGATCCCATTTGTCAATTTTGGCTTTTGTTGCCTTTGCTTTTCATGTTTTAGTCATGAAGTCTTTGTCCTTGCCTATGTCCTGAATGGTATTGCCTAGGTTTTCTTCTAGGGTTTTTATGGTTTTAGGTCTTACATTTAAGTCTTTAATCTATCTTGAGTTAATTTTTGTATAAGGTGTAAGGAAAGGGTCCATTTTCAAGTTTTCTGCATATGGCTAGCCAGTTTTCCCAACAACATTTATTAAATAAGGAATCCTTTCCCCATTGTTTGTTTTTCTCAGGTTTGTCAAAGATCAGATGGTTGTAGAGGTGTGGCATTATTTCTGAGGCTTCTGTTCTGTTCCATTGGTCTATATATCTGTTTTGGTACCAGTTTTGAAGTCAGGTAGTGTGATGCCTCCAGCTTTGTTCTTTTTGCTTAGGAATGTCTTGACTATACGGACTATTTTTTGGTTCCATATGAAATTTGAAGTAGTTTTTTCCTAATTCTGTGAAGAAAGTCAGTGGTAGCTTGATGGGGATAGCATTGAATCTATAAATTACTTTGAGCAATATGACCATTTTCACGATATTGATTCTTCCTATCCATGAGCAGGGAATGTTTTTCCAGTTGTTTGTGTCTGCTCTTGTTTCCCTGAGCTGTGGTTTGTAGTTCTGCTAGAAGAGATCCTTCATATCCCTTGTAAGTCATATTCCTGGGTATTTTATTCTCTTTGTAGCAATTGTGAATGGGAGTTCACTCATGATTTGCCTCTATTTGTCTGTTATTGGTGTATAGGAATGCTTGTGATTTTTCACATTGATTTTGTATCCTGAGACTTTGCTGAAGTTGCTTATCAGCTTAAGGAGATTTTGGGCTAAGACGATGGGATTTTCTAAATATGCAATCATGTCATCTGCAAACAAAGGCAATTTGACTCCCTCTCTTCCTATTTGAATACTCTTTATTTCTTTCTCCTGCCTGATTGCCCTGGCCAGAACTTCCAACACTATGTTGAATAGGAGTGGTGAGAGAGGCCATCCTTGTCTTGTGCTGGTTTTCAAAGGGAATGTTACCAGCATTTGCCCAGATATTGGCTGTGGGTTTGTCATAATTAGCTCTTATTATTTTGAGATGGTTTCCATCAATACCTAGTTTATTGAGAGTTTTTAGCATGAAGGGGTGTTGCATTTTATCAAAGGCCTTTTCTGCATCCATTGAGATAATCATGTGGTATTTGTCTTTGGTTCTGTTTATGTAATGGATTGTGTTTACTGATTTGTGTATGTTGAACCAGGCTTGCATCCCAGGCATGAAGCCAACTTGATCGTGGTGGATAAGCTTTGTGATGTGCTGCTGGATTTTGTTTGCCAGTATTTTATAGAGGATTTTTACATTGATATTCATCAGGGATATTAGCCTGACATTTTCTTTATTTGTTGCATCTCTGCCTGGTTTTGGTATCAGGATGATGCTAGCCTCATAAAATGAGTTAGGGAGGAGTCCCTCTTTTTCTATTACTTGGAATAGTTTCAGAAAGAATGGTACCAGCTCCTCTTTATACCTCTGGTAGAATTTGGCTGTGAATCCGTCTGGTCCTGGGCTTTTTTTGGTTGGTAGGCTTTTAATTATTGCCTCAATTTCAGAACATGTTATTGGTCTATTCGGTAATTTGACTTCTTCATGATTTAGTCTTGGGAGAGTGTGTGTGTCTAGGAATTTATCAATTTCTTCTACACTTTCTAGTTATTTGCATAGAGGTGTTTATAGTATTCTCTGATAGTAGTTTGTATTTCTGTGGGATCAGTGGTGATCTCCCCTTTATCATTCTTTATTACGTCTACTTGATTTTTCTCTCTTTTATTCTTTATTAGTCTGGCTAGTGGTCTACCTATTTTGTTAATCTTTCAAAAAAACAGCTCCTGGATTCACTGATTTTTTTCAAGGATTTTTCCTGTCTCTATCTCCTTCAGTTCTGCTCTGCTCTTGGTTATTTATTGTCTTCTGCTAGCTTTTGTATTTGTTTGCTCTTGCTTCTCTGGTTCTTTTCATTGTGATATTAGGGTGTCAATTTTAGATCTTTCCTGCCTTCTCTTGTGGGCATTTAGTGGTATAAATTTCCCTCAAAACACTACTTTAGCTGTGTCCCAGAGAGTCTGGTACATTGTGTCTTTGTTCTCATTGGTTTCAAAGAACTTATTTATTTCTGCTTTATTTTCATTATTTACCCAGTAGTCATTCAGGAGCAGGTTGTTCAGTTTCCATGTAGTTGTGTGGTTTTGAGTGAGTTTTTCAATCCTGAGTTCCAATTTGATTGCACTGTTATCTGAGAGACTGTTTGTTATAATTTCCGTTTTTTTGCATTTGCTGATGAGTGTTTTACTTCCAATTATGTGGTCAATTTTAGAATAAGTGTGATGACGTGCAGAGAAGAATGTATATTCTGTTGATTTTTGGTGGAGAGTTCTGTAGATGTCTATTAGGTCCGCTTGGTCCAGAGCTGAGTTCAAGTCCTGAATATCCTTTGTTAATTTTCTGCCTCGTTGATCTGTGTAATATTGACAGTTGGGTGTTAAAGTCTCCCACTATTTTTGTGTGGGAGTCTACATCTCTCTGTAGGTCTCTTAAGGACTTGCTTTATGAATCTGGATGCTCCTGCATTGGGTGCATATATTTAGGATAGTTAGCTTTTCGTGTTTCATTGATCCCTTAACCATTATGTAATGCCCTTCTTTGTCTGTTTTGATCTTTGTTGGTTTAAAGTCTGTTTTATCAGAGACTAGAATTGCAACCCTTGCTTTTTTTTTTCTTCCCATTTGCTTGGTAAATATTCCTCCAACACTTTATTTTGAGCCTATGTGTGTCTTTGCACATGAGATGGGTCTCCTGAATACATCATACCAATGGGTCTTGATTCTTTATCCACTTTGCCAGTCTGTGCTTTTTAATTGGGCATTTGGCCCATTTACATTTAAGGTTAATGTTGTTATATGTGAATTTGATCCTGTCATTATGATGCTAGCTGCTTATTTTGCCCATAAGTTGATGAAGTTTCTTTATAGTGTTGATGTTTACAATTTGGCATGTTTTTGCAGTGGCTGGTACTGGTTTTTCCTTTCCATATTTAGTGCTTCCTTCAGGAGTTCTTGTAGGGAATGCCTGGTGGTGACAAAATCTCTCAGCATTTGCTTGTCTGTAAAGGATTTTATTTCTCCTTCACTTATGAAGCTTAGTTTGGCTGGATATAAAATTCTGGGTTGAAAATTCTTTTTTCTTTTTTTTTTTTAAGATGGAGTTTCACTCTTGTTGCTCAGGCTGGAGTGCAATGGTGCGATGTTGGTTCACTGCAACCTCCACCTCTCAGGTTCAAGTGGTTCTCCTGCCTCAGCCTCCCAAGTAGCTGGGATTACGGGCATGTGCCACCACGCCAAGCTAATTTTGTATTTTTAGTAGAGATAGGGTTTCTACATTTTGGTCAGGCTGGTCTCGAACTCCCAACCTCAGGTGATCTGCCTGCCTCAGCCTCCCAAAGTGCTGGGATCACAGGCACGAGGCATCACACCCGAAATTCTTTTAAGAATGTTGAATATTGGCCACTACTCTTTTTTGGCTTGTAGGGTTTCTGCAGAGAGAATCACTGTTATTCTGATAGGCTTCCCTTTGTGGGTAACCCAACCTTTCTCTCTGGCTGCCCTTAACATTTTTTCCTTCATTTCAACCTTGGTGAATCTGACCATTATGTGTCTTCAGGTTGCTCTTCTCAAGGAGTGTCATTGTGGTGTTCTCCATATTTCCTGAATTTGAATGTTGGCCTGTCTTGCTAGGTTGGGGAAGTCTTCTATAACTTTCAAGTACACCAATCAAACTTAGGTTTGGTCTTTTCACATAGTCCCATATTTCTTGGAGGCTTTGTTGGTTACTTTTCTTTCTTTTTTTCTCTAATCCTGTCTTCATGCTTTATTTCATTAAGTTGATCTTCAGTCTCTGATATCCTTTCTTCTGCTTGATTCATTTGGCTATTGATACTTGTGTATGCTTCACAAAGTTCTCATGCTGTGTTTTTCAGATCCATCAGGTCATTTATGTTCTCCTCTAAACTGGCTATTCTAGTTAGCAATTCCTCTAACCTTTTTTCAAGGTTCTTAGCTTCCTTATATTGGGTTACTACATGCTCCTTGAGCTCAGGGGAGTTTGTTATTCACCACCTTCTGAAGCCTACTTCTGTCAATTCATCAAATTCATTCTTTGTCCAGTTTTGTTCCCTTACTGGCAAGGAGTTGTGATTTTTTGGAGAAGAAGTGGTGTTCTGATTTTTGGAATTTTCAGCATTTTTTGTGCTGGTTTATCCTCATCTTCGTGGATTTATCTACCTTTGTTCTTTGATGTTGGTGACCTTCAGATGAGATATCTGTATGGACGTCCTTTTTGTTGATGTTGATGCTATCCCTTTCTGTTTGTTGGCTTTCCTTCTAATGGTCAGGCACCTCTCCTGCAGGTCTGCTGGAATTTGCTGGAGGTCCATTCCAGACCCTGTTTGCCTGAGTATCACAATCGGAGGCTGCAGAACAGCAAAGATTGCTGCCTGTTCCTTCCTCTGGAAGCTTTGTCCCAGAGGGGCACCTGCCAGATGCCAGCTGGAGCTCTCCTGTATGAGATGTCTGTCAATCCCTGCTGGGAGGTATCTCCCAGTCAGGAAGCACAGGGGTCAGAGACCCACTTGAGGAGGCAGTCTGTCCTTTAGCAGAGCTCAAGTGCTGTGCTGGGAGATCCACTGCACTCCTCAGAGCTGGCAGGCTGGAAGGTTTAAGTCTGCTGAAGCTGCACCCACAGCCACCCCTTCCCCCAGGTGCTCTGTCCCAGGGAGATGGGAGTTTTATTTATAAGACCCTGACTGGGGCTGCTGCCTTTCTTTCAGAGATGCCCTGCCCAGAAAGGAGGAATCTAGAGAGGCAGTCTGGCTACAAAGGCTTTCCCTAGCTGGGCTGGGCTCTGCCCAGTTCATACTTCCCAGCAGCTTTGTTTACACTGTGAGGAAAAAACCACCTCCTCAAGCCTCAGTAATGGTGGACGCCCCTCCCCTCACCCAGCTTGAGTGTCCCAGGTCAACTTCAGACTGCTGTGCTGGCAGCGAGAATTTTAAGCCAGTGGATCTAAGCTTGCTGGGCTCCATGGGGATGAGATCCACTGAGCTAGACAACTTGGCTCCCTGGCTTCAGCCCCCTTTCCAGGTGAGTGAACAGTTCTGTCTCACTGGTGTTCCAGGCACCACTGTGGTATGAAAAAAAAATCCTGCAGCTAGCTCAGTATCTGCCCAAGTGGCCACCCAGTTTTGCGCTTGAAACCCAGGGCCCTGGTGGCATAGGCACCCAAGGGAATCTCCTGGTCTGGGGGTTGCGAAGACTGAGGGAAAAGTATATAATCTGGGCCAGAATGCATCATTCCTCATGGCACGGTCCCTCATGGCTTCCCTTGGCTAGGGGAAGGAGTTCCCTGACCCCTTGTACTTCCTGGGTGACGTGATGCCCCACCCTGCTTCAGCTCCCCCTCCATGGGCTGCACCCACTGTCTAACCAGTTCCAATGAGATGAGCCAAGTAACTTAGTTGGAAATGCAGAAATCACCCACCTTCTGCACTGATCTCACTGGGAGCTGCAGACCAGAGCTGTTCCTATTTGGCCATCTTGCCAGCCACCTCAAGAGATCACTGTTAAAGCCACAGAAGTAAATAGAATCCATCAGAGATCTGAGGGATACCTTCTAAAATAAAAATGGAAGAGGGCCGAGGATGGACTCGTGGACTCAACTACTTTTGAGAAATGGAAGAAGTAGAATGGTTCAACCAAGGAAACTGAGGAAGAGCAGTCAGGAAGTAGAAGGAGAACCAAGAGAATATTGTCATGAAAATCAGGGGAGGAGAGTTAATAGAAAGAGGGTGAGTACAGAGAAAAGTGGTCAAGGAAGTAAGAACAGAATAAAGGCCATTTGATTTGATGACCTTTGAGAGGGTGGTTTCAATCAAGCCTTTGAGGGTAAAGTCTACACAGCAGAGAACTAAGACCTGAGAGATAAGGTAGCCAAAGCCGGTGACAGGATAAAGAGGGTAGTCAAATTCTTACATGAACAGAAAAGTTAGCCCAGGACTTTCAAAGACAGCGAAAACTGAGCTTTCTGTCCTCCCTATCGCTCTCTTGTGAAAGTCACCTGAGGCTCCTTGGTCTTTTTCCTGTCTTCTTCTGAGCCTATCCTGCTTCCTGCCTTGTCCCGTTCTGTTTTGTATAGGCTACAAAGAATTTGATTAAAGAAAATGTAACCATTGTAAATACTTGTCCTCTGATCCCAACTGGGAACTGCCTATCGCCCAACATAATTTCTAATTATCTCATATTCACTCCCCAAAGCAATGGTTTCAATTCTTGCCACTTTGCTTAATACCCTGGCTTCCACCGATTCTTTCTTGGCAGATGATCTCACCTCCTACTATACCTGCCAGATAGTCTTATTGGGCCCAAACTCTCTCTATCCTACCTCAAATATCTTAAACTCTACACCCTTGCTCTCATTCTCCTCCTTTCCTCCAAACTTTGAGGAGAATGCCAGTGCCCAAACCCATGCCTTCAATTAAGTTCCCACCAGCCTGCCTCCAGAGCTCTGCCCCTTATTTTATCCCCTCTTAGAATGATTCAGATGTGTGTATCTTTTCTCCCCAACAAGACCCTGAGTTCCTTGTGGCAGAGACTGTGTTACACTGTCTCATAGCTTCTATAGCAAAACTTATAAAAAGCAATTAAGAGAGCAATCTGTTTCAAAAATTGAATTCACTTTAAATACTTGGAAAACCAAAGCTTCTGAGAAGCAATATAGTATAGTGATTAAAAACACATACTTTGGAGCCAGACTACCTGGATTAGAATCCTGGCGTACCCATTATTAGCTGTGTGATCTTGGGCAATTCACTTATTTTCCAGCATTTTATTATAAAATTTTTCAAACATATACCAAAGTTTAAAAAATTTTACAGGGAACACTCATATACCAACCACTAGATTCTACCATTAATATTTTACTATATTTGCTTTATCATATGTAAAAATATATATCTCCATCTATCCATTCATCAAACCATTCTTTTTTTGTTCTGTTGCATAGTAAGTTGTAAACATCAGTACACTTCCCCCTGACTACTTTAGCAGGTATATCATTAACTAGAGTTTCTCTGGGCCTCAGTTTTCTCATCTATAATACAGGGATAATAAGTACCTTCCTCAAAAGGTTTAGGGGAGGATTAATACATGTAAACACTTAGAATGGTGTCTGCATATAGAAAACACTCAAAACAATATTAGTTATCATTGTTATTACTCTAGCAAATCCCACCCTCCGCCGCAATTGCTCCTAAGAGAACCAGGCCAGCCAGCCAGCCAGCCAGAGTTACATCTCTGCCTCCCTCTTTTAACCCCACATACACATAAATCCATGAATCGTCTCTAGGAGTTCCTACACCAATGAGAGTTTATCCTTGTGCCCAAAAGAAATGAATTCCTCCACCCTTTATACCCCTAGACATTCATTCAGTCACCCTGGCCTGAATCCATAGAGTTTCATGCTCCTTAATTAGTGAAATGAAGCAACTGCTGATCGAGGCTTCATGGAGGTGCCTCCTTCATCCCTCCTTTTAAGAGCAAATGTGCCTACAGAAACTGCTTTATTCCCTTAAATCGAGGTGACATTCTTCAATTCCAATCTCAAAAAATAAAAATAATAATAATAGTTTAAAAACCTGCAAATATCCTAAGACTATGCTCAGAAGATACAATCCCAATGTGTATAATACTGCCAAGGTATAAATAGACATATCATACAATCACTGACTATCATGGCTTGTCATCAGAATCTACTGGAGAGCTTGTTTGGTACAGATACTGTGTCCCACACCCAAATACTGGCATTCAGGACACCTAGTATATGCCTCAGGACTCTGTCCTTCCAAAAAATGCCTCCAGCTGATTCTGATGCTCAACTAAGTTTGGAAACCAATACTTCTGTTTTTCTTCCTTCCAGACATGTGGCTTTTTTCTTCTATGCCACTGAGTTGTAGTACTCTTGAAATCTGCCAGCTCTACCCCTTGCTCCATTCACTGTCATCTTACTTTATAAAACCACAAATAATAACAGCAATGGCTACGAATAATAATGTTAAAAGGAGAGACATTTAACCCTCACAAAATCTCTGTGCTATGGGAGTATTATTATCTCCATTTTATAGATAAGGAAACTGAGAGTTAAGGAACTTGTCCAGGATCACATAGCTAGTAAGAGGTGGAGCCAGCAATGAAAACCGAGTATCTTAAGCCCAGATTTCCCTTCACTTCATAACAATTTCGTTAGCCAAGTTGGTGGAGATGTCCAGTGAGGCTGAGGAAAGGGCAGGGACTGGGGACTAAAGCAGAGTGAACCTAGAGAAGTGGTTCTCAACCTTGGATAATTTTGCCCCCCCAGGGAACATTTGGCAATGTCTGGAAACATTTAAGTTGTCAAAACTGGGTGAGAAGCTGCATCTGGGTCAGGGGATGCTACTGGCATCTAGTGGATAAAGGGCAGAGATGCTACTAAACATCTCACAGTGCTCAAAACAGCTCCACCATTACCACCACACCCCCCAACATACACACCCCAAAATACTATCTGGCCCAAAATGTCAAGAGTGCTGAGGTTGAGAAAGTTTAACCTACAGTGTTGGAAATTGACTGAAAATGAGGAAATAAGTTTATTTTAGCTATAAAGAGAGAATGAGGTAAAAAATAGAGCAAGGGAGGAATGCCAGAGACCAGGCACCACAATGTCCAGGCCCTGCCCAAAGAGGTCTCAGATAAATCATGAAGGTTTTTTGCTTAATAGCCCTAAAAGCAATGCTCCATTTCTCCCCTTGCCTGGAACTTTTGAAAAGGGACTTTTGAACCACAGTTCCCATCATAGTTCTAGAAACATTGCCCAGAATAGTCTGGGTAAGAGTAATTTGCTCTCACAAACAAAGAAGACTCAGCAGAGAGGGACATGGAGAGAAAGGTAGAGAAACAGAGACATAGGCTGAATGCAGACAGCGCAAGCATCAGAATATACACAGGAAATAGCCAAAGAGATTCCACTTGGATAGTCACAAAATAAATAATGTAATTGGGAAAAATTAATCTAAAAAACAAATGTTTCTGAGGTAAGAGGAAGCTGAAGAACATCAGGGCCAAGAGATATTTGAACAATGAGCCAAGAGTTGGCCTTAAGCTGTGGTCAGTTGCAGAGTTTATTTTGGGGCTGCCTGGATAGTCCCAAGGTCTAACTGGGGCACAAGAGAGATCTGACCCTCTATCCAGGGACCTAGTCATTAGGAAAAAATACTCAGAGCTGGGTAGATTGGGAAGCCTAGAGAAGACCTTGAAATATGATCTTGGGCCAGGTGCAGTGGCTCATGTCTGTAATCCCAGCACTTTGGGAGGCTGAGGCGGGTGGATCACCTGAGGTCAGGAGTTCAAGACCAGCCTGGCTAACATGGTGAAACCCCGTTTCTACTAAAAATACAAAAAAAATAGGCGGGCATGGTGACCCATGCCTGTAATCCCAGCTACTCGGGAGGCTGAGGCAGGAGAATCGCTTGAACCCAGGACGCCAAGGTTGCAGTGAGCCAAGATCGCACCATTGAACTCCAGCTTGGGCAACAAGAGTGAAACTCTGTCTCAAAAAAGAAAGAAATATGATCCTGGAGAATCAGCCAGTGACTGATGAAGCCAGATAAAAGAAACTAAATCTGGAGTGGAGAAAACCTGAGGAGGGAAATGGTAGCAGCCTGCAGCTATTTTGACTATGTAGACACAGCTAAAGAGAATTGAGCTGGCTGGTTAGGGCTGGGGGTACAGGGATCAAGGGCAAGAGGGTACTGAATTCTCAGGGGGACAAAGAATCAAAAAGGGAATCTAGGATATTAAAGACTATCTCCACCTGCATTTCAAATGTGTTTGGACTGGCCCTGAGTCCCAAAAACTACTCTTGCTTGGTTGGTGGAGATGGCAAGACCCAGCTAATGACAATATTTGTATCAGACCTTACCACCCAAACTTTCTTTACCCAGACTTGTCTCTGGGATATAGTCAGCTCTAAGGGTAATATAGTGCTCTGAGGTCCTTTCCAGGTAAGGTGGGCAGAGAAGGCTTCATAAAAGTTAATTGGCTGACTTCATTTATTAAACAAATATTTACCAAGACCCAAAGTGTGTAGAAGATTGTGATAGGAAACATTGGCAATACAAAGAAAATACTGGACATTGTCCCTGTCTTCAAATTTCGTATAACATATTTCAAGAAGCATATCAACAGTGCCATACAATGTTCCTTGGATCACTGATAAAGGCAGTGTGCAAAGAAGACCAAGGGTGCCTAGACAGTCCGTCAATGGGCTTCAGAAAGGTCACTGAGACCTAATGTCCAGAGATACTTCTTAGAGACGCTGGGCTTTGAAGTATAGGTGAAATTCAACAAGGCTGAAAGAAAAAAAGGAAGTTCTGTCCAGGAGAAGAGAACAATCAAGAGCATAGTTTGCGTGTAAAAAGATCTCATTAAGGAATGGGAGTGTAAGGACCATTCTTGATGCCCCTCAGATCATTCCACATGGGTGAATAGGTTACTTACCATTTCTGCCTATATCTAAGGTCAGCTTTCAAACACCTCTTTACTAAGTTCAATAAAAGCCTTTTCTGCCCCCTGGCTTGGCCCTGGATTTACTTTGACATCCTTTCCACAGTGATCCAACTGGCTGGCTCCTCAAGATGGGTTTCTGATGGGTGGATTATGTTCCATCACCCACAATCTGGGGTTACTAAATGAATAAGTACCCATCTAGCCATGTTATGTCAGGATACCTAGAAAGGCCTGAGTGATTTAATTTCAATAAACATCATGTAAAGATGTGTCCTAGGCCTTCTGCCTGGGATATGTTGACAGATATAAACCCCAAAAGGAGTTGTAGCCATATCTGAGAGCTAGCTTGGGGCCACCAGTAGGAAGGGAGAAGAAAACCCAATGCACCTTTCTAAATCTGTCTGATATTTGCAGCCACCAGGTTGCAGGAGGTGGTTTTTATTGTTTTCACTGGAAGCACAATGAAAGGACATTAACTACTTAAAGGAAGGTAGTATTTGGTATCTGAAACACATCTTACTCTCAATGGAAAATCCTCCTATTATACATTAAATATAGCCAACACTGTAGGACAAGAGATACTGTAATGAAAAACAGGAGTAGACCAATGGTCTCTCCTACCACAGCCTGCAACCTCCCTCAGTAATGACCTGTCTGGCTCCCTTCTTAGGTATTCCTCTGTGCCACACAGCTAATAGATATTTTGTTCATTCAATCATTCATCCAATTATTCATTCAACAATTCTTCAATAAGCACCAGTTATGAACCAGGCACTGGGTATCAGCTACTGGGAATTCAATCAAATGAAATAATCCTAGTCCCTCTCCTCCTGGGGCTTACATTCTAGTGGAGGAGACAGACATTTTTTAATTGCACAAATAAACATATACTTATAACCTGTGATCAATGCTGTGAAAGAAAAGACCAAAGTACACCTGATTCTCATTATTCGCAGCAACTACGCTCCATAAAGTTTTCACAAACACTAAATTAGCAAATCCTGAATCATTGTTCCTGGGAAATACAGTGTTAAGTTTCTGCAAGCCTGTAGTCACAACATTTTTACCAACCAACCAATACATAACCTTGTTTTGTGTGTGTTTCTGTTTAAAGACACTTTAATATATATTGTTAATTCATTAACATTGAACTCACAGCCAGCAGCGCTATAATTCATGCATGAATTAAGCTGCTTGTCTAACATACATAGTTTCTCCGTAAGGCACATCACAGCCTTCTTGTGCTTAGGAACCATAGACAGCACTTCAGCACTATGCATGAGGGCGATTTTAAACAAGGAAATCACCAATAAAAAGCACAAAAATTGCAAAAGACACAGCACTAAATAGACCACAAGAAGGACTCTTGTTTAGAGTATGAGAACTGAAGCAAAGCAGAGCATCACCTCGTTCAGCTTCAGCTGGGACATATGTCTCAGACAATTCAAAATTTTCACTGCTCTGGTGTCATAATCTTAAACACCTAGTAGAGGCAATGCCAGCTTATTTAATCAGTAGATTTTTCTAAATTTGGGAAGAACATACCTAAGTAAAATAAAAATGTCCACTCATATTTAACACTGATAAATCAGAAAAACATAGCTTTTCATTGAAACAAAAACACTGAACTACTCTCATTTGCCAGATTTACCTAATTTATATGAACTTGAATTTTTTAAAAACATTTGAGTTAATTTCTATAAGAACACTTTTTAAGAACATTTATTGTATTCAATACAATATCATTTCCTTAATTTCTGGGAATTGTAGGAACATTCAATTTATACAGCAGTTATTTATCTCTAAGCTAATCCGAATAAAGCTCCTGTAAGAGATTTTAAAATCTAATTTGGTAATACCATCCAAAGGTAGGTAAATATCCCACACTCCAATTCCTCAGGGATCTAGAACTAGAAATACCATTTGACCCAGCCATCCCATTACAGGGTATACACCCAAAGGATTATAAATCATGCTGCTATAAAGACACATGCACACGTATGTTTATAGCGGCACCATTCACAATAGCAAAGACTTGGAACCAACCTAAATGTCCAACAATGATAGACTGGATTAAGAAAATGTGGTACATATACACCATGGAATACTATGCAGCCATAAAAAATGATGAGCTCATGTCCTTTGTAGGGACATGGATGAAACTGGAAACCATCATTTTCAGCAAACTATCGCAAGGACAAAAAACCAAACACCGCATGTTCTCACTCATAGGTGGGAATTGAACAATGAGAACACATGGACACAGGAAGGGGAACATCACACACCGGGGACTGTTGTGGGGCGGGGGGTGGGGGGAGGGATAGCATTAGGAGATATACCTAATGCTAAATGACGAGTTAATGGGTGCAGCACACCAACATGGCACATGTATACATATGTAACAAACCTGCACATTTTGCACATGTACCCTAAAACTTAAAGTATAATAATAGTAATAAAAAAATCCCACACTCACACAATGAAAGGTAAAGTTCTTTCTGAATTGTGTATAAGCATACAAATGGATAGCTTATAGCTTTAATTCTAAAATTTCAGCCAAGGGTCAAATGGAAACATAGAATTACAAAACCCATTTATCTGTATCAAAGAGCTGTTCTCTTCCTGATGGTCATGGAATTCTTTTTTTTTTTTTTTTAGATGAAGTCTCGCTCTGTCACCCAGGGCTAGAGTGCAGTGGTACAATCTCGGCTCACTGCAACCTCCGACTCCTGGGTTCAAGGGATTCTCCTGCCTCAGCCTCCCATGTAGTTGGGACTACAGGTACATGCCACCACGCCCAGCTAATTTTTGCATTTTTAGTAGAGACAGAGTTTCACCATGTTGGCCAGGCTAGTCTCAAACTCCTGACCTCAGGTGATCCTCCCGCCCCAGCCTCCCAAAGTGCTAGGATTACAGGCATGAGCCACCGTGCCCAGCAGATCATGGAATTCTTAATTGATTTAAGCTCAAAAGAGATAAGTAGACTAACAAACCAGATACTGTCATCTTTCACCCAACAGAGACAAGGTCTCTATAAACCTTGTCTCTGTTGGGAAAGACAGAGATCACTGAATGGTCAGATCATGCAACCAAAACAAGCCAGCACCAGAAATCAAGCAAGTATTCAAAAAGAATCAAAATCAAATCTTTATGGATCTACCAATAAACAAGAGCCCAAACCACAGGAGCAAGAACTGGACTCACCATTGGGTCCCCAGATCACTAGTCAGGAGAGGAACACAAAGGGCTCTGACAGATCTTGTTACCTGGGTGATGTGATCTGAAGGTGAGGTCCAATTCCTTCTAAGTCATGGCACCAAAACTGTGAAGAATAAAATGCAACAGACAACCAAGGAGATGATTTTATTTGAGCTATTGTAACAGGGAGGGAGAATGTTCATTAAGAGGGAGAAAACTTAGGGTGGATCTTATCTGAGTCATTGAAAAAGGGTGGAGGTGGGTTTTGTCTTGCCATTTATGAGGGTGGGATGGTCCTTTGCAGTTAGCTTCTTGGAACACAAAAGCATCACAAAACAGTAGGGGGTTTTCTTGACTGTTGCTACTTTTCCAAGAGCACAGAGCTCAAAATAAAGCTCAATCTCGTCAGGCCAAACCATGCAGCACCTTATTGACCATGGTAAGGCTGTTTGCTCTTTATCCTAAGAACAACGGGAAGTCATTGAGGGTTTAAGGAAGACTATGGCGTGGTCACTTGGCCTGAGATAGCCTGGCTGTATCCTCCTACTAACTTAGCTCACTGCCTTCAGTGCTTCCTGGCTGGGTTTTCACAGGCTGCTGAATTTCAGGCTCCCTTATTGCTATGATGTCTCTGCATGACAGGCTGCCCAGTGGGGACCCCGGGCTTCCTCTCTCAGGCTTCCTGCTTTTTTCAGACCCTGCTGCTCAGCTCGTGTCCCATCCCTTACAGCAAAATCTCTCCCTAGGGCCTATGCCACCATGATGAGTATTGATAGTCTGGGGATCACAAAGTGGCCTACAGGAGGCAGACAGATACTCTAAACAAGGAAAGCGTGCAGTGTATAATACAACAGGCAATGGTGAGGGACTGTGGCAAGCCGGAGAGTATCCCTGGGCACAGATCCTGCCCCAGTGTGGCAGCCACTACTCAGCATAACTAATTGTTGCCAAGCCGGCAACTTACCCAGTGTTTTCTCATCCTACCATTTTCAACTTTCTGGATTTTTAAATGTGGGCAACCAAGTCAAAATGTTTTAAAATATTGTTCAGGTCACATAGGGTGTGAGTGCTGAATTTAGCCTACAGATTCTCACTTGGCAACTTCTATTTTCATCCTAAAGAGATCCTGGACCTGTCAGCCTGCTCTCCACCCCACCCCAGCTGCCAGCAGTGCTCAGCAAGTCATCAATCAATCACCTTTTGCCCCGTGAGCAACACTGGTACCTACAATGTTCTCTGAATTCTCTGAAAAATTCTCTGAATGAGCAAACCAGCCTCATTCAGAGAATAGGCCCATCTGAGTCTATTACAGAGAAAGAGTTAAATTCTAATACTCAAGAGTGGAGGCTTCATCAGCTACCTGTCAGGGACTGAAATACAGGGGAACCTGGTGGCAGAGGCTGCCACTGACCACACAAAAGCTGGGAAACAAGGCATTTTCTCACTAAGGTAGGTGAGGTTCAATTCTTTCCCTCTTTTACCCTTCCTCTGGAGATGTGGGCAAGAAGCAGAGGAATAAAAATGGCAGGCAAGCCCCATGGTAATCTACCAGCCACAAGACAACCAGCCTCTAGCAAGTTCAGATCCACTGGTCCAACCTCTCTCAGGTCACTTTCCCAAAATTTATCCAAGGACCCCACATTCTGATGGGAGAACACTGAGACAAGAATGGCATTCTATCATGCCCTAGGTTTGTCAGGCCTCAACACAATCAAGAACAATGTTCTGAGAAGCTTAGGCAGTGGCTTTACACATAAGGCAGTAAGAAAGAACAATTTATTTTCATAACCAGCTCCTACACCAGACAATTCAGAAAAGAGCCAAGGGACAAAGTCACAGAGCATGCATACAGGGCATGCATGCTTAAAATACACACTCATGCTCACAGACCACGCAGGCACTCCCCTCACCTCCCACCCCCACCTCTGCCCACACCTGCAAACTCAAACCAGCCTCAGCCAGTAAACCCTTCACCTTCCCCTCCTCATTCTCAACACACGCAAAATCCTTGGCATTGATATTTCAGGCACAAAACTTATTTCTGTTCAACATTAATAGCACCAGAGGAACTTTTAACTGGGAATTACAACTCTTTCCAAAGTAGTTTAACACTGGACCCCAGCAAAGGCCCCAGGCTGTTCTGTGAGCATGTGAAAAGCCTCAGGAGCTGCTTAGAAGGATTAACAGAAATAATCTTTCCAGGCTAATGGCTTTTCTGGGCCCCAGGTCTGATCTCCAAGCCTGGAACAGAGCTCATCAGGCCCTGACTCAAAACTCAGGAAGGAAGCAGGTAAATTGCTACAGACTGCTTCCTTGTGCTATTGGATCTCTTGCAAGACAGAACCCCCCAATGTGGTCCTAGAGGCCTCAGGCACTTCCTGCATGCAAATACACTGTGTGTGCTGCATGACAAGCCTAATGTGGACAAAAAGTAGGTGGCCCCCTACCAGGGCAGCTTGAGAAATGGCTTAAGAGATTCCCTAACAACAACAACAAAAACAAAAACCGAGCTCTCCCAAGCCCAAGCACCTGGAATCCACTATTACTCATTCCTCCTAAAGCTCAAAAACTCCCTGTTGAAATATAAACATATCGTCCAATTAACACCCATTAACACATTAGCATGGATTCCTTTTCCAGATTGGCTGATAAAATAGCCTACAGAACAGAAAGTAGAGTCCTAATGGGATGGTAAATAGGTTTAGGTAAAGGTCAGCAAGGCTGTGGGGTGGGGGTGGGGGTGGGGGTGGGGTGGTCCGGGGTGGAGGGGAAGAGGCCTGAAAGGCAATAACAGTGATTCTTTTACTGGTTACAAAGTGCTTGAGCCTCACAATAACATTGGCGAGACATCAGAGAAGGGTTTCTTGTCTCCCTCTTACAGTGCCTAAAGAGGTTAATTGCTGAGCTCAGTAGTATATCAGTTCATCATTTGAATTGAGCTCTACAAACATTTCCTGAACATCTGCTCCACTCAGGCAATATGTTCTTTGTCCAGGATACAGAGATGGTCAAGACATTGTCCCCACTCTCAAAAAGCTTAGTCTACTGTAGGTGACAGTCACAGGTAGTAAGAACAAAAGGCAAATATCATGATAAAGGAAATAGTCGGCACTGTGAGAACATAGAGAAGGGACATCTGACTCAAATCAGGTGGTGGAGGTACAGTAAGGTCACGGAAGTTTTTCTGCAAGAACTAACACTTGAACCCAGATATTCTCACGTCAAACCTCGTACTCTTTCCATACTCCTGATGATAAACTTCATGATGCCTTGACAATTTGTTTCTCTCAGTTCATGGATAAGTTACACCATGCTGTAAGATAATAGAACATCTTAGGTCCTTACAGCTTTGGCTGTCAGGTCAGCCAGTCTTCCAGGCCCAACCTTATAGTCAGGGTCTCCATGGGCCAGTGGGAAAGGGAGGAAGACAGGAGGTCTGGAATATGGTTGAAAATCAAGTTCTCCCTCATTGAAAGCCAATTATTTGTTCCTCATTGGGGCGACTTAATTAGAAATAAAGGTATTAAGTATTTACTATGTGTCAGACATTGTGCTAAGCTTTTTGTAGACATTAACTCATTTCGTCCTGCAACAGCCTGATGCAATAGGTAACACCTCCAATTTACAGATGGGAAAATGGAGAGTTCAAGAGACCACACAACTTGGCAAAGACTGGGATTCTAACCCAGGCCTTTGTACTGTGCTCCACTGCAGTATTGTCTCTGAATTGCTGTGAGCACCCCTTACCCTGCCTCCCAGCTACTCATTCCATCCATTCATTCATCCGGTGTTTGTTAAGCACCTATTGTATTTAAGGTACTATACTTGAATATGCTAGAGATTCTAAGACATGTAGGCCAAGGAATTTACCTTCCAGAAGTTTACAGAACATAAACTTGCTGAATTTTAGAATTGAGGGGTCACATTGCCCAACCCCGTCATCCTAGATATGAAAAAACAGAAGCCCAGAGAAGACAAGTGAGCCACGCAAAGTCACATACCTGGTTAGTGGTTGACCCAGGATGAAACCGGGTCTCCCTAAATTGCTGGTTCTCAAACTTTGTGTATTTTAAAGAAAATGCAGATTTCAGAGCCCCACCCTAGATAACACATTCTGAAGCTGCGGAGGTGGTGCCTGGGAATCTGTATTTAAATGAGAGCTGCTTCAGGACCCTTGGATCACACAAGGAGAAACTATTTCCTGTGTCCTGCTATGTCATCTGTACCACTGGATGGACACAACCAAACTCATTTTGTTTTTACACTCCCAAGCCAGAGTCCAGTGGCATCATCTCAGCTCACTGCAACCTCCGCCTCCTGGGTTCAAGCGATTCTCCCACCTCAGCCTCCCTAGTAGCTGGGACAACAGGCTTACGCCACCACACCCAGCTATTTTTTGTATTTTTTGGTAGAGATGCGGTTTCACCATGTTGGCCAGGCTGGTCTCGAACTCCTGACCTCAAGTTGTCTGCCTGCCTCGGTCTCCCAAAATGCTGAGATTACAGGTGTGAGCCACTGCACCTGGCCACAACCCCATTTTTATCTTGAGGTGAGACAGAAGAGCTAGACCTCTTCAGAAGGACAAAAGTATTGTGGACACAATCAATCTGGAGAGAAAAGACGAATGCAAGGGAAAAAATTGGAAAGGACTATAAGACAGTGAAAACAGAAATAGCAAAATATGTAGCAAACCCAGTCAAGGCTGTAGCAGTCAGAGAAGGAAAAGCTCTCTGTCAGTTGAGGTAATCAGGGAGGCCTTTCTGGAGGGGGTGGGATTTAAATCCAGCATTTCAGGACAAGAAGGATTCAGTGGATAGGGAAGAGGACATTCCAGAGAGGAAAAATACTTTGAGCAAAGGTACAAAGTGAGGACATGTAGGTTGTACTCAGGATACAGAGCAGAGAAGAGGCCTACCCAATTCTGCCAGATTTAGGGGATAGACTGGGGGACCAAAATGCAGTCAGCCCCTGCTTCATGAATCACACACAGCATGGCACAGGGAGATGGGAGAGATAATGAACAACAAAACAAACCAAATGACAATTTGAGATGGTGATAGGTGCTATGAAGACAATAACCAGAGTGAAGTGATATGGCTGGAGATGGGAGAAGCTATCTAACTAGGAGAGTGAGAGACAGTCTCTGAGGAGATGCCATTTTTGCCACAACCCAAATGACAGTACATGCAGGAAAGCGGTGGAGAAAATGACAGGAAGATGGTTGCTGAGACCATAACTGGAGACTCTCCACCCTAGCTTATCTGCTTTCATCGAAGCCCGGGTGAAAGATATGTAGGGCAGCAATGAGCCTGTTTTCTGATTTGGTCAAGATAGAATGGGGTCCAGAAAAGAGCAAAGTGCATTTCTTGGTCACTAGGTAAGATTAGGTTGGGGACCTAGGCTAACAGAGTGGGCTACATTCTGAAGGCACTCTTTGCCCCAGTATTCAGGTCTCTCACTGAGCCCAAGTCCTGATGGGCTCTTCCCGCTCCTGCCAGATACCTAGCAGTTCCCCAGCTGGTTCAGCCTCTGTCAACTTTGTAGGAACTCAAGGCTCTGAAGCCAAGGCCTGACCCACAGAAACTGTCCAAGGCCCATGGGATCCACCTGAAACAGCCCACACACACAAGCAGGCATCTTTCTCCTTTTGTAAGGTCAGAGTCTATTGCTCTAGAGCCAGAACCTGAGGCCAACGCTGAGGGAATGGCTCCTCAAACTTCAGTGAATCTTCCTTTTACTCCTCCCTCCTTACCTTTCTCCACAATCACAGACCCCCTGCTGCTGTAGCCATGACCTGTGTCTACAACTGGTCCATGGAAAAATTGACAGGTTGGTGATTTGTCTTTGGTGCCTCTATATCCTTTCTGTGGCCTCTCTCTCCCTGGTCAGATGTCCAGGACCCTTGTGGTCTCTCCTTTCACCCAATCTCCTTCTCTCAGGAAACAATATTAATGGCCCAGTAATATTAAGATCAAAGTAACTAATGAAGCTTAAGCAGCATTTGCATTTTGACAGGATGGTATTGTAGGTCTTAGTACATAAATATGGAAGATTTTTAAAAATTAGATACTTAACATGTATTCCTGAAATGATGTTAGAAAGACAGTTGCTTATTCTGGCTATATGGGGTTAAACTCTGGTTTCTTAAGGCAGAAGCTAAAAGAAAGACAATGTAAGGGCAAGAAAGAGCCAAGACACAGATTTGTCATAACTGCAGGATGAGTTTATTTGTTTTTAACCATAATAATGATTAATATTATGGCAACACCCTGCATTGCGGGTATAAAAACACAATCCTATCCCAAAATATGACTCAGCCTCTGTACTCCCAGATATCACTGAAATTCCTTGGAAGGCAGCTGCAGCCCCTTGCAGAGGCTCCCATTCTTGCTACTTTCACAGTTGGACAAGACAAAGCGGACCCACAACCCTGCTGCTAGGTGCCCAGTCATAAGGGAAGGAGGACTGGGCCCACAGATCCCCACCCCACCCAGTATAGCCAACTGTACATCCTATTCAGACCAACAGTTTCCCCACCCCCAACTACCACTCGGGAAATGGGCTGCTTCTGGGCCAAATTCCCTGTTTAACAGCAATTCAAACACTTCATCCTGAACCTTTGAATGGAAGGGGTCGGGAAAGTTCAGAGGGATAAGTATTTGCCTTTATCCACAAAATGCCTATGCTTCCAGAACCCTACTCCTGCCCTCTTCTTACTTGAGGACTCTTTGTGATTATATCTTTTACACTAAGAAGTGAAAAAATAAATCAACTCCTCTACTGGGACCATATTCTTGGGTGTGGCTTTTCGGTTAACTAACTGATGCCTGGGACGAACAGAGGTAAGAAGCGGGGTGGCAAGAGCTAGGAAGATCTCAGAAGCCCAAGTATTCTAATTAACATTACTTTTGAGTGCCAGCTCCAAAAGTTTTCCATTTCTTTTATCATACTTATTGAAAAAGAAGCTAAGGCCCCAAAGAGGACAGGAACTTGCCGAAGGTCACATCAAAAATATATAGTAGAGCTTAGGAACATGAGCCAGGTCCTCCACCTCCAGCCAAGTGCTCCATCCAAAAAGATGTGTGATTCTCCCCAGTGACTCAGAGAAAAACACAGAGAAACAGGGTTATCAGAGGAGAGATTTGCAGTTCATGTGCTTTTATTCAACCTCCTAAAATGAACAGGAAGGAGAGACACAAACAGGTCCTGAATGGATGTTAGAATTGCAAAACAGGAGGGGCAGCAAGATGATAGTCTCTTCTGTTTTCAAAGATACTGCTCCAGCAATGGGCCACTCCATCTTCCCAGATGTTCTCCACTATCCTGGAGGAGGGAAGGGAAGGAGAGGAAGAAGTGGGAGAGAAAAAGTAAGGAAAAGATTTGGAAGAAAAAACAAAAGATGGCTGAGTCAATGTTTGAAAAAGAACAATGTTCCATCCCAGGATGCGTTGTCACCATAAGTTACAGTACAAGTTGGTTCCCTCTCTTCTCTCTCCCCCGCACCTCGACCTTCTGCCCTGTCTCAGACACACACACACACACACACACACACACACACACACACAGTCTCTCTCTGTCTCATTAGTCTCCCTTGGGCCTACCCTTCTTTTCTCCCCAGATACCTGGCCCAGGCTCTGGAACCTCTGGACTTCCACTGGTTTGAAGGAATTGCTGGGCCAGCCCCGTCTATATGCTGTTTGACCTGTATATTTGGCAGATGTTAGTTCCCTCTGCCATTCCCTGGGGGGCTTAAGCAGATAGTTTGGCAGAAAAATATCTATTCCAAATGGTCTCATTATATTCAAAGAGGAAAATGTCACATTTCCCGCCCCACCATCCATCACTGGCCTCTTCTCAATGTCTCCTAGACTGGGCTAAGACTATGTCTACACCTCTGCTACTCAACTCCCACCTCCCACCTCCTGTCTTTAACCTAGAGCAGTGGGCTTCGCTGGCCCCAAAGGAGAAGGAGGCCTGAGCCAACAAGAAAACTGCTGAAGCAAAGTGAGAGCCACTCTCCAGAACCCAACTAACACCTCATCATCCAGAGGTCACTTCTCTGGCAATCTCACATATCTGGAACAAAGCTGAGAATAAAGAAGTAAGAAGGGAAAAATAAGAGGGAGTGGGCCTCCAGGAAGTCAAAAAGATGTCAGCATACATACAATAAAGTTTGCCAGCTTTACTCATAAAAGAATCTTCCTGAGAGCCAATTTCTTTACTTCAGGCTAAATCCTTACAAGTGTGTTTATTGTTTCTGTAGCCACAGAAAATGAGAAACAGCAAATTATGAGGAGGCAGAAATACTGATAGCAGCAGAAGTGACAGTTGAATATAGATGTAGACAGCGAATCAATGTCCTGAGATTTTGTCTTTTTAATAATACAGCAAATTTGCCAGTCATGGTGGTACGTACCTGTAGTCTCAGCTACCCAGGAGGCTGAGGTGGGAAGATTTGTTGAGCCCAGGAGGCAGAGGTTGCAGTGAGCCAAGATCGTGCTACTGTGCTCCAACCTGGGTGAACGAGTGAGACCCTGTCTCAATAATAATAATAATACAGCAAGACTGACTCCTGTTGTCAAACATGGAGCAACTTGCTGAGCGATGAGAAAGTTGGCAAATATCACTGGCCAATCTTGTCTACCTATCTTCTTTAGCACATTGTTAGTTGCCTGACCATTTGATGGGTTATGATGGTGACAGCTAAACTAAGCCTCCTTCCTAAAAACAAAAAATCTCCTTAAGCCCAGGTGAGGTAAACCCAGACCTCTTGTCAGAAATGGCTGAGTGTGGCCACCTGTGCATCATAACTAACCAGCCCAGAGGTGGTAGGGGAGGACAGGGAAAAGCACTCAGCCTCCAGAGGAGGAACTTAGCAAGAGCTAGGCCGGGAACCAGGGCCCCAATCAAATACACCTTATTCCAAGCAGAGAGAAGACACTCAGGCAGGTGAACTGGGTCATGCAGTGGGGAAGAGAAAAGGGCTGCAACTTGAGGGCTGCAAGGTACCTGAGTCTTTCTTGTGGCTCACTCCTGTCACCAGTGGGCTGAAGCAGCTGAGTTGTCCCATACCTCATTTAGGATTGGCTCAGAATGGGAAAAGGGAAAGGTTGAGGAAGGCAGAGGATTGCAGTCCCCTTGAACAAAAGAACAATTCTACCTCCAGGGTTGTCCTTTATGGGCCAGGAATTCACCCTGATTCCTTAGCCTCTCTGAAAATATTTGTACTCACTTTTGATAAACAGTTTTATTGAAATATATTTTACATGCCACACAATTCATCCATTTACAAGTGTAGAATTCAATATTTCTTTTTCTTTTTTTTTTTTTCGAGATGGAGTCTCGCTCTGTCGCCCAGGCTGTAGTGCAGTGGTGCGATCTCAGCTCACTGCAATCTCCGCCTCCCAGGTTCACGCCATTCTCCTGCCTCAGCCTCCCTAGTAGCTGGGATTACAGGCGCACGCTGCCACGCGCAGCCAACTTTTTGTATTTTAGTAGAGACGGGATTTCACCATGTTGCCCAGGCTGGTCTTGAACTCCCGAGCTCAGGCAATCCGCCCACCTCGGCCTCCCAAAGTGCTGGGATTACAGGCGTGAGCCACCGCGCCCAGTCCTTCAATATTTTTTAGTATACATATAGGGTTGTATAATCATCACCACAATCACCTATTTTTAATTAAAAAAAAAAATGTTTTTTGAGACAGAGTCTCACTCTGTTGCCCAGACTGGAGTGCAGTGGCACTATCTCGGCTCACTGCAACCTCTGCCTCCTGGGTTCAAGGGACTCTCCTGCCTCAGCCTCCTGAGTAGCTGGGACTACAGGCATGATCCACCATGCCCGGCTAATTTTTTTGTATTTTTAGTAGAGACGGGGTTTCATCATGTTGGTCAGGCTGGTCTCGAACTACTCACCTCAAATGATCCGCCCACCTGGGCCTCCCAAAGTGCTGGGATTATAGGCGTGAGCCACAGCTCCCAGCCTAAAATGTTTATTTTGAGATCTTATTTGATAACTTGTAAGAAATAATGCAGAGAGATCTCTTGTATACTTTAGTTTCTCCCAATGGTAACATCTTGCAAAACTGTGGTACATTATCACAACCAGGATATTGATATAACTCACCCATCTTGTAACAAATTATCCAGTTTTACTTGTACTTATTTGTGTGCATGTGTGTGTGTGCATGTGTGTTTCATGTGTTTCATTCTATGCTATTTTATCACCTGTGTAGGTTCATGTATCCACCACTACAGTAAAGATGCTGAAAAGTTTTGTCACCACAAGGATCTTTTATGTTGCCCTATTATAATATAACCACACCTGCCTCACTTCTCTTCTCTTCCCTAATCCCTGGCAACCACTAATCTGTTCTCTGTCTTTGTAATTTTGTCATTTCAAGAATATCATAGAAGTGGAATAATACATCATAGCAACCTTTGGGGATTGGCTGTTTTCCCTCAGCATGATTCCCTTGAGGGTCATCCAAATTGTTACATGTTTCAGTAGCTTGCTCCTTTTTATCTTGCACCCACTTTTAATTTAGGGAAATTTGCCAGTGACTTAATAAATTGATTGAGAGGGCCTGTAGGAGGCATTGCAGCACATTGAAGGAACTGCAGAAGCAGAGGGCGCAGGCCTCAGTAGAGCTCTTCCAGCCTTAAAGACGGGCCTGGAGTCTTGAATTGCACTGAAGCACGTGGCTCTTTCTTTTAGTTGAAAAGTGCACAGCTTAGTTCTTGAGCAATCAGCTGCCAGCAGTTGTCACCACAGGACATCTGGCATATGGGGAGCTCCACCCATATCAGACACCACTCTCTAGAGGAGAAGCCTCAGAGGGGAGAAATCATTAATCCTAGCAGAGCCCAACCATCGAGCGTTTAGCATTCCAGAAACTGTCCACAGACTGAGCAACAATTGCCTTTGGGGAAAGAAAAACCATGGCAGAAGCCAAGGAGCCTTAGGAAAGCCAGAGGCTCTTGCTTGATTTTTAGAGTAGAGTTATCTTAAGGAGGCTATACTCCAGTAGCCCTGGTGGTACTGATTTCACATTTCTTTTTTTTCACTCATATTGAAAACCTAAAGATTTTCTGCTTCTTCAGTTTCTATTGATCTCCCAATCATCAGAATGGGGTGCCTGTTATGATGTCTATAATTTACTTTAAAATACTGAAGCAGAGACAGTGTGATATTCCACATGATTAGTTTAAATATACACTCTTTGAGTAGTCAGTTACCTTGATCAAGACTTCTAAATCGGGTGTGGTGGCATGCACCTGTAGTCCCAGCTACTAGAAAGAATGAGGCAGGAGGATCACTTGAGTCCATGAGTTCAAGTCCATAGTGAGCTATGATCACACCACTGCACTCACAGAATGAGACCCTATCTATCTCTTAAAAAAAAAAAAAAAAAAGACCTCAAGACCTCTCACTCCAAAACCACACTCCAGAGATGGCTAGCTATAACTATTTGCTATTAATGCTGAAGGCTATAATAATTAGCATAATAAATGTTAGAAATAAGTTTTCATTGGTGAGAACCGTGGCTTGTTAATGTATGCAATGGTTGTTAAAATGGGTTCTTATTGGTGACGTTAATGGTATTCAAACTATGTAGTCAGACTAGAATATTTTAGCTTGAACAGGGTATAAAAATCTAATAGCTCCTACTTTCAGGGATGGCACTCTCAACCCAATCCCTAAAAGGTTCTGGGTCCTACTGCTGTATCCAGATAATTTTCAGTCCCTTGACCTCAATAAGTGGTTAATTGAATCTGTGGCTGGAATATTATCACATTTTCTTCAGGTGAGCCTTTCATGCAAGAAAAAAAAAAACCCTGAGATCTGAAACATCATCAAGCTTCTACAACAGGTTTTATAAACTGTTTTGTGCCTTCTTGCTAATAAATGTTTATATGTGTGGCAGATTTTGGTCTGACATTTGCTTTTATTCAAAACTGGCAGCAAGGTTGTGGGAAGGTAGCTAACCCCCTTGCTTTCCTCCAATTATTAGTGACTACTGAGACCTACCCATTAAACTTAATAGTTGTACATAACCAAATCAGTTTAGGTCAGTTCACCACAGTACCTTAAGAATGCAAAAGAGGAGCTCTAATGTTAGAATCTCCATAAATCTCTGAAAAATCCCAGGAGCCACAAAAATTCTGAAGGGAAAATACTCAATTCAGTAGCAAACAGCAGTCTTTGTCATGTAGGCAAACAGGATATCTGGATGTCAGACGAGGAGATCTACAACTTGTGGATTTGTAGAATCCACATTGAGAAGGATTTTCTGTGGCATGATCTCTCAAGGCGGATCTTGAAAAAATTTACATCTCAAATCCTTGAAATCATGGAGTATTGATAAGCCTTTCACTGTCTTAGTTAACCCACACATCTTTAAAAATCTAAAATCTCTGGACAATGATTAATAGGAAAAAATCCTCTCTGTATATTTAAGAGCCAGGCATGTTACACACATCTCTTTCAATTATTAAAGAAAAAAAGTCCCTTCAAGGAAAGTAAAGCTCAGAGAAGTTACCTGACTCATCCAGGGTTCCATGGCCTATAAGTGACACAGCTGGGGTTCAAGCTCTATGTCTTAGTCCATTCCTGCTGCTATTACAAAATACCACAAACTGGGTAATTTATATGTTATAAAACTTATTTCTCAGTCTTGGAAGCTGGCAATTCCAAGATCAAGGTGCCACCAGGTTCAGTGTCTAGTGAGGGCCCAGCGTCTGCTTCCAAAATGGTGCTTTGAATGCTGTGTTCTCACATGGTGAAGGGCAAGAGGGTCCTAGGGTGTTTCCTTCAACCTCTTTTATCAGGTCACTAGTCCCATTCATGAGGGCTCTGCCTTCATGACTTGATTACCTCCTAAATACCTCACCTCTCAATGCTACCACATTAGTGAATATGTTTCAACATTTGACTTCTAGGGAACATAGACCATAGGACCCCATTTCTCTGACTCTTTCTGCTCCATACCATGCTGCTTCTCATCCTTTGAAAAGATAATGTGTGGATAGAAGGGGAAAAGTCAGGCAAGAGCAGAGCAGCATTCACAAAACATTCCTCTATTGCAAAGTAACTCTAACCTACCTCATTCCACTCCTCATAAACTTTGCTATCATGAGCAACTATGGGAATATAAAAGAATCAAAAGACCCAATAATGTCAAACCACAGGGTCCCTGGCATACATAACACTGTGTGTTACTAACTCACTGTGAAACCTTCAGACTACATATGTAGGCCATATAGCTTACATATCATATACAGTAGTACCTCTCTTACCTGCAAGGATGTGTTCTAAGATCCCCAGTGTATGCCTGAAACCTCAGATAGTACTGGACCTGAATGCTATCAATAGGAGCACGTTTCTGTTGTCTTCCACAAATTTAATGCTTTTTGCTTCCTAACTAAGCACTTATCACACACTATAGCTGTAACTTTTGCAGTTTGAGGCATGATAGCAAAACTAGCACAAAATTTATTTTTCCTTCTTCACAATTTCATGTATAGAAGATTCATTCTTACTGTAGATCTTAGCAACACCACCGTATGATTTTTTTCTTTCCTTATTTTATTTATTTATTTATTTATTTATTTATTTATTTATTTATTTATTTTTGAGACAGAGTCTCGCTCTGTCCCCAGGCTGGAGTGCAGTGGCGCGATCTCGGCTCACTGCCACCTCCGACTCCCTGGTTCAAATGATTCTCCTGCCTCAGCCTCCCGAGTAGCTGGGATTACAAGCACACACCACCACACCCACCTAATTTTTGTATTTTTAGTAGAGACGGGGTTTCTCCATGTGGGCCAGGATAGTCTCGATCTCCTGACCTCATGATCCGCCTGCCTCGGCCTCCCAAAGTGCTGGGATTACAGGCATGAGCCACTGCACCCAGCCTCTTTCCTTATTAAGTTGAGAACTTTGACCTTTTCATTTAAAGGAAGCAGTTTACAGGTTCTCTTTGGCATATCCAAACTGCCAGCATCACTGCTCTTGTGCTTTGGGGTCATTATTAATTAAAATAAGAGTAACTTCTTGGGGGTGGGAAGGTGTGGGGATATTTAATGGGTACAAAATAAAATATAAAGAATGAATAAGACAGCATTTGATAGCACAATAGGGTGACTATGGTTGATAATAATTTAATTGTGTATTTTTAAATAACTAAAAGAGTATAACTGAATTGTTTTGTAACACAAAGGCTAAATGCTTGAGTGGTTGTATACCCCATTTTCCATGATGTGATAATTTCACATTGCATGCCTGTATCAAAATATCTCATGTACCTCAAAAATATATACACTTTCTATGTACCCACAAAAATTAAAATAATAAATTTTAATAAAAAGAGTAACCTGAACATGAGCACTGCAATACTGCAACAGTCAATCTGATAAACGAGATGGCTACTAAGTGACATAGACAAGGTGAATACACTGGACAAAGAGATGATTCACATCCCAGGCAGGATGCAGTACAACAGCGTGAGATTTCATCATGCTCCCACAAAAGGCATACGATTTCAAATTTATGAATTATTTGTTTCTGGAATTTTTCTTTTTCTTTTTTCTTTTTTTCTTTTTTTTTTTTACTAGAAGTTCATAGTTTACTTTAGGGTTTACTTTTGGTGTTATATTCCATGGGTTTAAAGAAATGTATAATGACATGTATCCACTATTATAGTATTATACAGAGTAGTTTTACTGCCCCCAAAATCATCTATGCTCCACCCCTTCACCTCCACCCCCCAGCCCCTGGCGACCACTGATCTTTTCACTGTCTCCATAATCTTGTCTTTTCCAGAATGTCATCTAGTTGGAATCATACAGCATATAACCTTTTCAGATTGGCTCCCTTCACTTAGTAATATGCATTTAAGTTTCTTCCATGTCTTTTCATGGCTTAGTAACTCATTTCTTTCTTGCACTGAATGATATTCTATTCTCTGCATGCACCACAGTTTTTTTATTTGTTTGTTCTTTACTTATCAGTTTATATGCTGAAGGACACATCTTGGTTACTTCCAAGCTTTGGCAATTATGAATAAAGCTAATAAACAAATATGTGCAGATTTATGTGTGACTATAAGTTTTCAACTCCTTTGGGTAGAAACCAAGAAGCTCCATTACTGAATCATATGGTAAGATTATGCTTCGTTTTTTAAGAAACTGCCAAATTGTATTGCAAAGTGTCCCAAAATGTAGCATTCCCACCAGCAGGAAATGAGAGTTCCTGTTCCTCCACATCTTTGCCAGTATTTCTTGTCATTAGTGTTCTGAGTTTTGGCCCTTAGTTTCTGGAATTTTTCATTTAACATTGTGGACTGTAGTTGACCATGGGTAACTAAAACCATGGAAAATAAAACCATGGATAAGGGGAAACTACTGTATTTCACATATTATCACATTTTAGTTTCACAGTCACCTAAGAGACAGCTGCAATTATTTTTTTCAGTTTTACAGCCAAAGAGATGGAATTGGAGAGGATTAAATGACTTGCCCAATGTCACATAGCCACTTTATATCATTATAAAGACAGGAGTAAAACCCAGATCTGTGTGATTCCACATCCAGTACTTATCACCTCTTTACCTGATATTTCATACCTTCTATTAATTCACTCTTGTACTCCAAGAGAGCCTAAGATCCACTAGTTATGGTATGTATCTAATTCCAAGACTGTCAGGCTCTTGGATGGCCAAGCCCCAAACCCTTGCTGGAGGGCAAGTCATCCTGCCCCATCAAGCAGCCAGCTGGCCCCAGTTATGGTTTAGAAGGCTGAGCAACTCTTGTTTGGATTTTCTTTCTCTCTTTCTATTTTTTTTTTTTTTCCATGATGAGGTCAGTAGGTTAAGCACCCTCTGCTTTGGAAATCTTCAAGGCACTTGAAAAGACAAAGCTTTTTATATCTGCAGAAAAGGAGACCCCTGTCACATTAAGAGAAACAATGAGTGCTGGTTCTACCCCTCAGGCATCTGGGTCTTGCTTGCCTCCCCTAGCTCTTAGCTGTTCCTCCCCTGCTCCCTCAACCATCCCCTAAATTCACACTTGGTTCAGGAGAAAGTCATGGTTTTACAAATAGCTTCATGGTCATTGCTTTGAATTACCACAATCCCTTGGGTAAACTATGAGATTACAAAATTTAACTTTAAAAGCAGTTGCTTTATGGCCAGCCAAGTCATGATACTGTCATCTTATCTCACATTATGATGACCTCATCCTCCACTGTGGGCCTGAGATGCTAATCAAGAAAGGCCTAGACTTGGGGAGGTCCAGACAGTCAAGAGTCAGTGATGCCAACATCCGGAAAGCACAGTTTTGTCCTTCCTTCCTGGGGTGGTGAGGAGGAAGAAGCAACTGAGGGAACTGAGGAAGCATATGTTGCTGAACTCTGCTGCAGAGATTTTAGGTGGTAGTATGGCTATGCAAGCTTGTCTGGGTGGCATTGTAACCACCCAATGGGTTCTTTCTGCTCACTGCACAAACAAAACCAATTTACGGCATTGCAGTAGAAAAAGAGTTTAATTGACATGAGGCCAGCCACACCCTGTGGAAAACAGAGTTATTACTCAAATCTATCTCCTTGAAGGCTCAAAGGTTAGAGGTTTTTTTCAAAGGTACTCAGGGGGAAAAGGTGGGGTGGCTAGCCAATGGATGCTCGCTGCTAATTTGGCTGGGGGGTGCAATCATAGGGGCATGGCAAATGATCCTCTTATGTGCTGAATAGATTCTTGGTGGGGCCACTGGAGCAGTTGGCAAAGGATCCAGATGAAGCCTGGTATCAGACACGCAAAAAAAAAAAACCTGAACAGATATGTCAAAATGCCAATATTAGGTTCTACAATAGTGATGTCATCTGCAGGAGTAATTGGGGAAGTTGCATGTCTTGTGACCTTCAGAATAATGGCTGGCAATTGTTTATGTCTACACCTTAACAGAATTTAGGCTTCTATCCTCCTCCTAGCCTGGTGATCTTTGATTAGTTTTACAAAGGTGGTTGAGTTTTGGGAGAGGGCTATTATCATTGAAACTGGAAGCTAAATATCTCTCAAAGTTAGCTTGGCAGCTTGAAGGTTAAAAGAAAGGGGGCATTGGCTAGATCAGATCTCCCCTCTGCCACTATTTTCTCACTGATACAATTTTTGCAAAAGTGGTTTCAGTACTGTGATGATTTTCCAGTTCCATACCCTATCTAAGGCCATCTAACCCCCACTTATAGGTTTGTTCCCCCATCTCTACCAAACCCAGATTCTGGGATTCATCCTGCCCTGAATCAGTGAAAAACATAACTCCATCCATACCTCACCAGCTGAGGCTCAAGCAAGTGGCTTCTGGCTCAGCTATGATCTCAAAATTGCAGTCCAGTAACTGGGCTCTTGTCCCTTCCCTTATGTACAGGTACCGGCCTTGTACTCAGTTCCTGTGATGGGGCTTCTGTTTTATTCCCTCAATATCTGAGGCCCTGTAGTTCCCTAGGTACCCAAATTATTCCAGCATGGGAAAGGGTGTGTGGGGAGAAGGGGGCTTCCTGGCCAATCCTTTCAATCCCTGCCCAACCTGGGTCCTCTCCAGCAATTGGATTCCTTCAAATAAATTCACACATTTAAATTTTAAATGTTATCAGTTGGCTCCCTGGTAGGACAGATGAATGAACAAGCATTCATCCATTTCTGCCTATTTTCTCTCCTGTCTCTTCCTTATTTCTGTTAGTCATATTAATATTTTTACTTTATCTGGATTTTTAACACATTGGTAATGTTCCCCTGCTACTTGCAGCCGGTCCTTCTTGATGCCAGATCCCTACCTAGACCTTTGTCTACAGCCTGCTGCCAAACTCCCTGGATGCTGTCTCTGTCTCCCTGTGGGGGCACCTATCTCTTGCCTGCTGCCAGGCCTCCTTGGCCCTGACTATTGGGCCTAAAATCTACTCTGGGCCCGTTGCTGAAACCTCCTCTTGCCACCAACTCTGTTCCCCTTGGGTGTGCCTTTCTCCCTAGATTCTACTCTAAGGAGTTTCTGGCATGACCATCCCCAGCTGCCAAGGGACACAATGGCACTCTTAGCCAACCCTATTTCCAATATTTTTAAATAATATGGAGAAAATTCTTTTTTTTTTCCAGTTTTAACTGAGACAACATTAGAGTTTTTGTTTGTTTGAGACCAAGTCTCACTGGGTCGCCCAGGCTGGAGTGCAGTGGCACAAACTCGGCTCACTGCAACCTCCATCTCCTGGGTTCAGGCAATTCTCCTGCCTCAGCCTACTGAGTAACTGGGACTACAGGCGCATGCCATCTAATTTTTGTATTTTTAGTAGAGACCAGCTAATTTTTGTAGTTTTAGTAGAGATGGGGTTTCACCATGTTGGCCAGGCTGGTCTTGAACTCCTGACCTCCCAAAGTCTGGGATTACAGGAGTGAGCCACTGCGCCCGGCCAAAATTAGAGTTTTTTGAAATGTACTTTCACCAATAAGTTACAGTAGGGGGAATAACATGCGCCCAAAAGACCAGAAATTTAATGGTTTACAGAATAAATGTGCATGTAATCACAGATTAGATTGGATGACAGTGTATCAGGCCATTTAGATATTTTCTTTCCTCTACTCTTTCCCCCAAATCCCATTTCATTTATTTATTTTTAGAGACAGAGTCTCGCTCTGTTACCCAGACTAGAGTGCAGTGGTGTGATCATGGCTCACTGCAGACTTGACCTTGTGGGCTCAAGCAATTCTCCCACCTCAGCCTCCCAAATATCTGAGACTACAGGCATGCACCATCATACCCAGCTAATTTAAAAAAATTTTTTTTCATAGAGACTAGGTCTTGTTATGTTGCTCAGACTGGCATCAAACTCCTGAGCTCAAGCGATCCTCCTGCCTCAGCCTCCCGAAGGGCTGGGATTACAGGCGTTAGCCACCACACCCAGCCCCCAATCCCTTTTTAAAGGTTGTTTTGTTTTGTCCCAGGAAATGAGGGATTCAGCACTGTCACAGCCTCCTATTAAAAAAAAAAAAAAAAAGAGGCCAGACATGGTGGTTCATTCATGCCTGTAATCTCGGCACTTTGGGAGGCCAAGATGGGAGGATCGCTTGAGCCCAGGAGTTTGAGGCCAGCCTGGACAACATAGTGAGACCCCATTTCTATTCAAATAAAATTTTTAAAAAGACAGTAAATAAAAAATAATAATACAATTTCTTTTAAAATGACAGTGGACTGATAAGTAGCTAATAGTTCATGCCCAAAGGGAAAAAGACCCCATTTCACCTTTCCATGCCTCTTGCCATTGAGCAGGGCTTTGGCCTAGGCCTAAGCATGTCACAATCCTTACAGCCTCCAGACCTTACTCATGCCCTCCTACAAGCTGAATGCCACTCCCCCTTCACTCCATTTATCTGAACCATACTTATTCTTCAAAACGCCAATCTAGTATCACCTCTTCCAGGAAGCACACCGTTCTCCTACTTCTCAACCACCTGCCGCTGTTAAAATCTACCCCACACAATTTAGCACTTGACTCAGTCAACTCTTAACTCCTAATGTTTAATGTAAACTAGTTTAGACTCCACAATTAATACCATAAACATCCTTCTTGATCTCTCCCAGGGGCACTTAGCAAAAGTCTGAGCCTGTAGTTGGGGCTCAGCAAAGACATATTGAAGATACTCGTTCTCGAAAAAAATCAGGGGTTTCCATTCTTTTAGTATAAATGGTTAGAAAATGGAGTGTTCAAACACAGCCATCAAAAAAAAAAAAAAAAACATTCAGCATCCTGGGGAGCAGCTACCAAAGACACCACAGGTATTTCCAGGTCATTGAACCACAGAGTGTTAGAGCGGAAAGGAATCTCAATCATCTATTCCCAAACTTTTAAACGGGTGTATGAATACCCCTGGGGGTCCATGGCAGTGTGCCAAAGGGGTCCACAAAGCCACAGAATAAACATGGCATGCTTTTCTGGAGTATCAATTTTACTTGAGTATAAGAAATTTTAAAAATTTCTATATTAAAACAAATATAGCTATATCATGGAGGAGAATGCGAACACTGCTCTCATTTTTAGGATAGAACACAAGATCTCAAAGACACTTGGAGTTTGCAGTAGGCTGCTTTGGGTTACCCCATCCACCCCTCTCCCTTACCCACGCTGAGGATTTCATTTTCACTTTCCTCTGTCATTAGGGTTATTTTAGTGAAAACTAAATAAATAAAAGTTTGAGACAGATTGATGTAGTCCAACCCCTTTTTCGCAGTTAGGATAACTGAGTCCCACAGGTGAGAAATAATTACATTGAGTTCAGCGAGAGCTAGGACCACAGTCTGCCTCCATCAGAATGTACATTTCTTCCCAGTGACTTGCTCAGGTGACTACTGACTGCTGACTACACTTCCTTGCTAACTCTGTTCCACAGCTTGTACCTTTCAGGATTTTTTTTCTTTCCAAGGGTTATACATCCTATCCTTAGGGAAATGTGTAGCACCAGCAGCACTGAGAGCAGGCCACACCCTTCCCTCGCTACAGCTTCAAATGCAGTGAATAATGATGCATGAAATGCATGTAACTGATGAAATTCATACCCCTCCCAGAAATAGGATGAAAGCCAATAATATCAGGGTGAGAGAGGCAAAAAAGGGAAGAGGTCCTGCTAATCAGAGGCCATAGCCAGAAAGCAAAGAGCTGATTTCAAGATCTTGCTTTTTCCCTTCTTTTGTGTAAGACCACCTCAGCAAGCCTCCAAGGAAACCGGGGCCTCAGTTTCCTTGGAGGTGACCCCACCTGGCTTCCCTGTCTCCTTCAGACTAAGGGAATAAAATAATCACTTCAGGTAAAAACAGGAAGTGACTCTGAATTCAAAAGAACTGAACTTCACTGTCATGTATATTCTTATTAGCAGGGGCTGCCTATAGATTTTCATATTTACATACATTTATTCACACCTTAAACCCACAACTCTCACTGTTACACAGACATATGGAAATTCTTCTGCACACTGTCACAAATACAAACATAAGCACACATCTGTGTTGAGAAAACCAACATTATGATAGTCTGTCTCTACCCACACTTCTCCTCCCCCAACACCCAGCCCTAGATATACACCATTGAGACCCACATTCATATCACACACATCAGGTTGAGCAGTGATCCCAGTTGCCAGGGTTAGAGCCACATTCCATGGTGTTCCATTCCTCTCAAAGAACTAACAGATCATTTCACAAAAATATCATCACCTGCCAACTAATGTCAAGTTACAGCCAGAATTAATGGTACATTACCCACCCCCATTACAGGTAGGCTCACAGGAGAATGACACCAGAGACAAAAGAGATTTGTGGCTCAGTGTCACTGCAGGAGACTGACCAGACAGGTAAGATGGGGGGCTTGTCCCAGCCAAAGAGGTTTCCTTTCCTCTCTGGGCCCTAGAATTGGGGGTGGGAAAGTAGTCTGACTTTTCGCAGACTTCTCAAACTCTAGATACAGATCACCTAGGTTAAAAAAAAAATAAGAAAAAGACTGCTCCTTTCTTTATTTTTATTTTTTTCCAACTTTTATTTTAGTTTCAGAGGGTACACGTGCGGGCTTGTTACATAGGCAAATTGCATGTCATGGGGGTTTGGTGTACAGATTATTTCATCACCCAGGTAATAAGCATAGTACCCGATAGGTAGTTTTTTAGTCCTCACCCTCCTCCCACCCTCCACCCTCCACCCTCCACCTTCAAGTAGGCCCTGGTAAGACTCCTCTTTTAACATGGATTTTTTTTTTTTTTCCAGAAGATGATTGGGTCATGTTATGCTACTTTTTCTTTTGAATAAGACCCCAACTACTTCAGAAAAGTGTAGTGATCAACAGCATGGTCTCTAGAGCCGGATGACAGGTCTGAATTTCAGCCCCATCACATACTAGTTGTATGACCTTGAGCAAGTTATTTAACCTCTTTAGCCCTCAGTTTCACAGATCTGTTAAAAATCGGGATAATAATAGCATCTTCCTCGTGGTGGTATGATGTGATTTAAATTTAAAGCTCTTAGAAAAGTGCCTGGCCCTTAAGAGGCTCAATAAATGGAATTATACAAAGGAGTAATTTCCTGTTTTTCCCAGGCCTTCACTACCTCACTACCTGCTTGCCCACCCACAGCTGACAATGTGGTCACCCTGTTTCTGAGTCACGCCTTCTAGAGCCCAGAGAGAACAAGACTGGCCCAATATCACACAGAAAGATTAATAGGATTGGAATTGATTGCTTTGGGGTGACTCAGCAGGCCAGTGGCCAGTGTTCTTATCTACTTCATCTCCTCCTTAGGAAAAAATGAGCATAGTTAGAGGAAACCTTGGGAGGAAATATGGCTGGGGCCAGGCAGGATGTAAATAATATTAAGAACAATGACAACTTAATATGTGCCAGGCACAGCTTTAAGTACTTTCTGTGTATTTTATTCAAACCTCACAGCAACCCTATGAATTGATAACTACCATCATCACCTGCATCATACCTAAGAGAAAACTGAGGCTCCAACACCTAGAATGGCTTAAAGCTGGGGTTATGAACCCAGGCAGTCTAACACCAGAGATGGAGTGTTCAACCACTACACTATACTGCTTTCCACATAAAGCAAAGAAAACAGAAGGAGAGAGGAGGCAGGAACAAAAGACAATGGAGCGATACAAGTTCTTTTTGAAGTAAGTTGATTGAGGCAGTCTAGTGTTTTGGTTAAGCACTAATTTAAGACCAAGGTTTAAAAAGTAACTGGGTTTAAGGCTTGCCTCTGCTACTAGTTATTGATTTTCTTTGGACCTTAGCTTCCTCATCTGTAAAATGGATTTCATAGGCCAGGCGTGATGGTTCACATCTGTAATCCCAGCACTTTGGGAGGCCAAGGCAGGAGGATTGCTTGAGGCCAGGAGTTTGAGACCAGCCTGGGCAACATAGTGAGACCTCATCTCTACAAAAAACAATTGTTTTTTAATTAACTGGGCGTGGCGGTACCTGCTTGTAGTCCTAGATACTCAGGAGGCTGAGGTGAGAGGATCTCTAGAGACCAGGAGTTCAAGGCTATACAGGGAGCCATGATTGTGCCACAGCACTCTAGCCTGAGTGACAAAGTGAGATCCTGTCTCTAAAAAAGTAAATAAATAAAAATAAAATAAAATAATTAAAAACTAACTAGTATTTCTTAGAGTTGTGATAAGGTTTACAGAAGATAATGCACATAACATGCCAAGGGCAGTACTTAACACACCTACATAAGTACTCAGTAAGAGCAACTAATGTCATTGGTTATTCCACCTTCAGGATTTGCCTAGCTATACAGCTCCCCCTGCCCGTTCCCAGGGAATACCAATTAGGAAGGAAAAAAATTGTAAATTGTCCAGAAAATGAAGAACTGGGCAGAGTAACAGTTCTAGACATCCTTTCCCATCTCTCAGGGGTATGTGTGGGCATGGGGTGGGGGGTGGTTAGCGAGCACCAGCATTATTAGCATCACTGTCTCCTTTCTCAAGGAACAGAGCCTGCCAGATTATCCCCCAGCCTTTGGTTGCTTATAGACTGAGTCAGAACTCTTTTTTTCCTTCAGTTTTGTTTTTCCACATCCTTTTCACATCAACCCTGTGAGGTATTGGGAAAGGAGGAAGTAATCTCAAATGTGTTAAATGTCTTCCATGTGGTGGACACAATGCTGGCACTTTCCATCAGTGCCCAATACCTCACAATACCACTGTGAAGGGATGCACTTATCCTCACTTTATAAATGATGTCCTGAATCCAGGGAAGGTTTGCTTTCTTTATTAACGTACATTTTCCTCTCATCCGATATATTCAATACTACTCTGGTCTGAGGTTGCATCCTGCTGAGGATTTTCCGTAAACTAAACTATAGGGAAATTTCACTGTCCTCAACATGCCAATCTTTGCATAATCCTAAATCCCATGAGTTGAGAATAATTTGCCACCAGTGGAGCTGAGATCAATTTATGACTCTGCTATTTACTTGTTAGGATTCTGTACTAGTCACTTAACCTCCCCCTCTATTTCCTCATTTCTAATATGGGGATAATGACAACTTCTGCTCCATGAGGTTGTGAAAATAAAATAACTTCCTTGAAAGTGCTCTGTCAACTGAGATGCTTGACATGGAAACATTATTTAAAACAGAACCATCAGATCGCTTAATCTCAAAAGAGCCCCAGATGGGCAATGGAATACCTGTATCTCTGACCTTCGATCAAGTAGGACTCCAGATTTGCCAACTGCGGTTGGCGACTTTGGGAATGTTGGGGGACAGAGAATGCAGAAATACCCTGAAGTGGCTGTTGAGGAAATGATCTTTGCCATAATCAGTGTGTAATCTATATCATCATGGAGACATCTAAATCTTTTATATAACATGCTTCTCAAAGCAGTTTCATTTATACTATTTCATGTGGCACTCAATACTCATTTGAGGTACTGAGCACTGATGGAAAGTGCCCAGCATTGTGTCCACCACATGGAAGACACTTAACACATTTGAGATTAAATTAAAATTGTTCCACTTGCTTCGTTACAACTTTCCTCTTCCCGCAAGTGGTTCATCTGAATTTGCAAAATCCTTCCCATCTTCCCTTTGGGGCCCATTCATTACAAAGGACACCTTAGTCCAGAACCAGGCCCTAAACCTCCAGATGAGTCTTTCTGAATCCACACAGCACTGTGCACTTGACACTGTCTTGTACTCCAGTCATTTATGTACTTGTCTTAACCTCTTCCCTTCCTTTTCCACCTTCCCACTAAATTCAAAAACTCTTTGAAGAAGGAAGAAAGAAGAAAGATTGATTTCTTTGTATTTCACCAACCTAATAGTTGCTTTATGTCAGTCTCATTTTATAAAGCTTTTAATTATGGAAATTTTCATATGTAATTTCATATATATATATAAAGTATAATTAAACACCAATATACCCCTCACCCAGCTTAACAATTAGCGACACAAGGACAATAATCGCATCTATACCTCCACTCCTTCTGCCTTCTTACTTTGAATAATTTAATAGCAAATCCCAGACAGCGTATGATTTCATCCATAAATACTTCAATATGAATGACACTTTCTGCATTTCTGTGTCCCCTACAATTGGAAGATGACTTGCATCTATGTCCGCTGCTACTGGGAGCACCTCAGATTATTTCTGAGTGTGCCTATTATGTGCCGCATCTTGTGCTTGGCTTCAGAGGTTCTGTCTGAGCTGCAGAGGCACAACAGTACCAAGCCACAATACTCCCAAACGAGAATTGCTACGGTTCCAGGGGAGTGAGCTCAGGGTGCACGTGGGAGCCCAGGAGTAGGACCCTGAATTGCACTAAGTGAATTGAGCGGAATCGGTTTTCTCATCTCATGGTGACCCTGAGTTCAAAGTTGCCACGAGACTAGGGGTCGCCAGCAGGAGGCGCTGCAAAGAGAGGGGATGGCGCGGGGCTCCCTGTGTTCAGTTTCTCCTGAGGGAGCCTGGGAAGGCAGCCATCGCCGGCTGCGGGTGAAAACCAAGTAACAACACCCTTTCACAGGCGATCGGGACGCCGAGTGCCAGGGCCCAATAGGTGCCCCAGGATTCAGGTTCGGGGCACAGGTGCAGGGGTGCAGGGCAGGTCTGGCACCTGCTCCCCAGGACTTCTGGACGCTGCCCGTTGACCTGGCTGCCGCCGGTTCCTGTCCCAACTGCCGCTCTTCCTGATAGAATATCTCGGAGCAAGGCACTGGACAGAACGAGGAAACACCTGTTTCCAACAAGAAACGAGGTAGGGGGGAAGCCCCCACCAGGCTTCCAATGGCCTCTCATTGAGCTTGCTCTCGAGAGCCTCTTAAAAGCGCGCCCAGAAAGCCAGCGGAGATCATTTTTCAAAAAGATCGCTTTCTATTTCTTACTCCCCCTCTCCTTTTCCTAAGCCTAAGCTGTAACGTCTCTTTCTTTAAAAAAATAAAAATTCATCTTTCCTCTGAGGGGTTTCCCGCTCCTCTCAGACCCCGTAAGGCCCTCCCCTTGGAATCTGCAAGGACCACCACCCCCAACCCCAAATTTTGCAACTGCATTGGCTTCCAGGTTTTTCACTTCCTCGGTACCCCGCCAACCTATACAGGTAGGAATTAGGACTTGGGGGCCGTGGAACAAAGAAACCAGGGAGTCCCTGTCCCGGGTCAGATGCCCTTTCCGCAGCCTCCGACCAACTGGGGAACAAGAGGAGATCAGGAGCATGTGAACCCCCCAACTCCCGTCTCATGGCACTTTCCAAAGGCTAGCACAGCAGCCCGAGGACGCGTGGGAGGTGGGGACAGCCCCCGGGCAGCAGACAGACAGACCCCCACGGAACAGGCCTTGAGTGGCCGTGCGCGCCAGCGGCCTCCACGCACTGGGCTCTGTTATTTCATCAGCAGTTTCAGAAGAACCTGCCAAAAGCAGTTATGCCTCACTGCAATGTGTAGCTTTTTCCTGCCATTTTTTCATAATAAAAGAGGGAGTGAAGCTCGCTCGCTCTCTCCCTCCACCCCCCTCTCCCAAAAAGAGCCAAATGGATGCAAGAAAAAAAAAAAAAAAAGAACCCACACACCAATCTCCGAGGGGATGCCAATGAGGTGTGGCTTGTATTTAAATATCCAATATGTCAATGTAAGGGGAGTGGGTATGTATATAAAGTGCCGTTTGCATCTGATAGCTGGACGAAGCCAGCTATGAGAGGCCGGGGGAGATGGATGCGGAGGGGAAGAGGCACTTTGACTGAGAGCAAGGTCAGGAGCACGCTGCCCCGCGCTCCCCGCCACTGAGAAGTTCCTTGGACGCGAACAGACGTCGACTGCAGCTCGGCAGAGCGCGGAGCAAGCGAGCTAGCGAGGGAGCGCCGCCGAACCGCCCGCGCCCGCTGCGGGGAGAGGCAGTTCGCGCCCCGTGGCCCCGGCTCGGCCCGCGCGCGCCCAGCACAACCAGCGCCGCAATCGGCCCAGCCATGGCAGAGGTGGGGGGCGTCTTCGCCTCCTTGGACTGGGATCTACACGGCTTCTCCTCGTCTCTGGGGAACGTGCCCTTAGCTGACTCCCCAGGTTTCCTGAACGAGCGCCTGGGCCAAATCGAGGGGAAGCTGCAGCGTGGCTCACCCACAGACTTCGCCCACCTAAAGGGGATCCTGCGGCGCCGCCAGCTCTACTGCCGCACCGGCTTCCACCTGGAGATCTTCCCCAACGGCACGGTGCACGGGACCCGCCACGACCACAGCCGCTTCGGTGAGGACGCGGTCGGGGGAACGGGAGGCGGGCGGACGGCGCACTGGGGAGCCCACAGCTCCGGGCTCAGGCGTAGGGCCCGCAGACCGCCCCCGGGCTTGGTGTCGTCCGGGCCAGTCGAGGCGAGACACGACGGCGCGGTCGTGGGCCTCTCGACATCAGGGGGCCCTGCACCCTCGGACACTTTCAGGTGGGGGCGGGGGCGCCTTGCGGTGGGGCCTCTCCTTTCGCCGCTCCACAGTATCTCCCCAGGGAGCAAGGGGGTAGTTCTGGGAGCTGGACTCTAAGCCTTGAATGAAAGCAGGTGGAGCTGAGACAGGGGTGGGAGCTCTCGCCTAGGAGGCCGGGACCGTGGCTGCAGCGCGGGCCGAGCCTCGAAGGCAGCAGGGCTGTGGCAGCTGATTTCCTGGAACAGGATCCTGCATGGGCCGTGGGCATGTGAGGCGGTCGGCCGGCACACAAATCGCTTTTGGCCCGTGGGTACCAGGCAGCTGTGGCCTCCGCCTGCCTTGGGGTCGCTCTGTCCAGGGTAGGAGACAATCCAGGCAGCCTGGCACGAATTGGGAATCTAGGAAAACCTCGCGGTGTCCACCGTGTAAGGGCACAAGTCCTGGGGCAGCTTTTGCCGGAAACTACCTCTGGACTCCTTGCCTCAGTGAGGAAACCGTCCTGGGCCCACTCCCAGTCCCAGAAACAGTTGTCTCTTGGGCCCAAAGCAGGAAACGTTCAACCTCCATCCAGGATTGTCTGTTTGCCTGCCACTATACAAACTGTTCAACACAGCTGCCTGTCTCACATATAGAACTAATTACACAATTAATATAAGCCTTGATCTGAGACAAAGATCATTAGGTTTCTAAGCAAATGTGTTCGCTCCTCGGTAATTTGCCATTTTTATTTTCAATTTCCAATTCTATACTAAGACATCATGGGGGGTTCTGTGACAGCTACCTTTGCCCCTCCGCATCCTCCAATGTCCTCTGCTTCCTCCCAAGGACCCTATAATCCAAGAAAGACACCTTTTCCCCAAGCCAGTAAGATGTTCTGCCTACACTCAGACATGACACCCTTCCCTTCTTTTTCCCACCCTCCTTCTTGCCAACATCTGCCCCAAACCCCCCAAACCTCTCCATCCTCCTATTCTCCATGCCTTGCTAGAGCTGCATCTGGAGTGCACAGCAAAAAGGGGAACATAGGGGCCAGTGCGGGGTAAGGCCAAGCCTAGCAAACAACTTAGGGGCAGGGTTGGTCTTCCTTGCTGGGAACAGGCAGAAACCCTAATGAGGTCTATGGTATCTTGGAAAAATGCACTCAAACATAGCTAGAGTACAGTAGGTTGGGAGGGGTAATGGAGGGGTGCAGGTGTCTGTATAAACTTGCAGCAGGTCCTCAAAAGGGTGATAAGGTGGAGTGGGAGGAGAGGGAGTGTTAACTTGGCTCCTTTCCCTTTCATTGCTTGTGATTTTGCAGTCCCCTTTTGTTCCTCTTCTTAAGGAATAGGACTCCCACACTGGCCTCAGAGGCTTCCTGAAATGGCATAAAGATACCAGAGTAACTCATTGCCGATATGTAACCAAAAAAAAAGATCATGAAATGATGGAGAGATGTGGGGTGGGGGTAGCGAAAGTGGAAAAATTATGAGCACACCTCCCAGCAGCTCCAAATATTTTTCTGATTTTGTGCCTAAGCTGAGCCCAGTAACCTACAAGGTCAACATAAATCAGTAATAGGCTCTTGGGATAAGTGGTCTTTAATTACCTCCCTAAAGACACATCTTGATTTCTTTTCATTTCCCAGGTCTGCTAAGGGTGTTAAGTTTAAGGAGAAACCAAAGGAAATAAGATTGGCAGGAGGAAGGGACATTTTCACTGCTGCTTAACTGACTGCTTCATTTTTGGTTTTGCCTTTGAAAAAGAAAACAACACTGGCTAAGAGCACCTCTGCATCACCTTTTCCTTTTCCTCCTTCCCTGACTTCCTGTCACTTTCCTGCACTTCCTGTAAAGAAAATGATAACTGGCCAAAGCTGTCTCTTTGTAACCTTCCCTGCCAACTTTAAAACACATACTCTTTCTCAGTTTAGCTTTTGGCACAGAAAGAGGTGGCGTTCAAGTTTGCTAACTCTTTCCTCCCTCCACATTTGAGTTAATCAGCCAGGGTATTCAATAAATTGAAACTTTAACATTCCATAAGTGCTTTAGCAGTCAACATTCCAGCAGGGTAAAGTAGGCCAGACTTAAGATATAAAATATTATAGATTTCTGCTAGGGGGGAAGAGGTAGTCTCCAAAAGCCATGTGAAGTAAATAGCTATTTGTTGTAATTGGAGAGCAGGGCCCCCAAGGATTACCCTGGAATCCATGTGTTCAGAACAAGTCAGGCTAAGCCCAAGAGCAGTCCCGACTCCAAATAATAACCTGTTGGCACAGCATATGCTCTCCGCTCTCCATCTGCAATCAGTAGCCAGGAGTATTTCAATCACCGCCTGGCTGGTAGCATTTATATGAAGTTCACAAGGATACTGACATTCCGAGGGGCACCTGTGGACTGGCAGAGCAGAGCTTGGGAGCCAAACTGAAGGAGAGTCCTCCCACCAGGTGGGATGGAGTGGGCTCATGCAGCTGCCTTGGTTCTTGAGTGATCTGGTTCTCATTTGGCAAGATGCCAAAGCAGCACTGTCTCGGCCCCAAAGGTCTGACAGGATGGCTGAAGGATTCAGGCAAGTTATGGAACTAGATTAAATGACACATTAGACAGTCATCTAGCTAGGTTCTGAAGCAGTGGGGCCCAGAACAGATCAGTTTTGACTGAGGGCCTGGGGAGAGAGGTATAAGAAGTGTCTGGAAATTGTCAAGAAAAGGGCAGAGCCTGATGTGGGCAGGTCAAGATGAGGCAGAGTAGAGAGAGGTCCTGGGCCTTGAAGGGGTAAGAGTACTGAGGACAAACTTTGTCTACTTAATACTTCACCTCAACACTTTGCTGTTAACACCCCTGTCCAGCTGTAGCTGGGAAAATATGAAAATGGCTTATTTTCTCTCCCCCTTCATGCTGGCTGGGATTCAGGAGAAGGTTTAGGAATATCTCTTCCATCATCATGTGCCACTGGGTTCCCACAGTTTGAAACCAGCTAATAGGAAAGTTGGCGAGGGAAAATGATGCCCAAAGACAGCTGGGCAGGGATAATTCCAGCTGTTGGAGACCCCTGTTACTGGACACAACCCAAGTGACTTCCTGTATGATCTGTCCTTTGGCATCAGGGTTAACAGAGAGTTGGAGAAAAACTGTGGTGACTCAAATGGCCACACCTCTTGGGTTTCATGATTTGTTCTCACACTATGTCTTGGGCAGTGAGATCACAAGCTGTGCTCTGCTACTTAATGAGCTCAGGGTTGTCAGAGACATGAGATACTTACAGAATGAGGGAACTCAGACTTGAAGCTCAGGAGTAACCTGCCTGAGCAAAGCAAAGAACTAAAGGCTCCCACGTTAGTGTCCCTCAGAGTTTAGGACCCAGAACTGAATCATGACCTGGTTTCTAGTTTCCTTTCCATACTGGGCACTCTCCTTTGAACATGCTCTGTTTTTCCATTTTCTTCTCTAAGCACAGTAGAACTAAACACACCATTCTCAGTGTGGTCTAACCATGGCAGAGCAGAGTGGGACAATCCTCCCTCCCTTTTGTTAGTTACCAGACCTGTATCAGTGAGGCCTTAGATCACACTAGCTTTTTTTCTATTTTTTCCACTAGCTTTCTAATTTTTAATTTTACATGACCAATTGTACATTAGCTTTTTAATAATCCTGCTAATCACCCATCATACTGAGTTTGCCTTGTTCAATTAAGTCTCTTAGCCATTGTTGTGTTTTACTAAGCCACATTTCCCCATTGCAGAGATGGGTAGACTTGCGTGTAATTAAAATGCACAAGAACACAAAATAACAATACACATTTTCAAGAAAATATACATGGTTGCCTGAAGTGGAGGGGCAGATGGGAGCAGGGTATGAAGAGAAAAAGAAAGAAATAAATAGATAATTATAAAGCCCTTGCACAGACCAACTATGTTAATAGGACATGATCTAAGCAGTACAGCTAACTCAACTGTCTGCACTTGAGGCTCACCCTCCCCCAACCAAACCCCAAACACAAAACACTTTGGTAAATTTGGGAGACCAAAGTGCAGGACTTCACATTGATTCTAATTAAGCATAGTTTGCTGGAGCCACTCCATTTTTCCATCCTCTTGAAATCTCTTTGGATATTGATTGTGTCATCCCTCTCAGCTGTACGTCTTCTAGAACTAGGATAAGCGGTCCTCATATGTTCTCTTACAAGTCATTTATTGAAATATCAAACGGAGCAGAACCAAATGCAAAACGTTGTGCAGTGCAGCTGAAGATTTGGTTGCATTAAATCAGTGTCTGATTAACCCTTACTTGGCACTGGGTATTTTCTCTTCCCCTCCTACCGTCTTGTCTCAATCTCATTTCCCGAGACTCCTTTCTTTGTACTGTAAAATTTAATAGCAACCAGACTGAGAATAAAACTTGGAGGATTTCAGTGTGAGAGGCCAAAGGCCAAACCCTGAGTGTTCTATAGAATTGCAGCAGAATAACCTTACATCCTTCCAAAAGATCTGGGTGGGTTGTGGAAGCACATGCCCCCAAAGCTGCCATACCTGAACAGCAGCCCACCAACTTGAGTCACTGGGGTTCCTCAGGAGACTTCCCAGTAGAGTTTTAACCTGATTTTAAAATTAGCCGCTTAAAATTCTTGATCTTGGAAAATCAGCTCTACTCCCTATATAGATTACATAGAATATTATTACCCTTAAGAATTGCATTTTTGGGCCAGGCACAGTGGTGCATGCCTGTAATCCCAACACTTTGGGAGGCCAAGGTGTGCAGATTGCTTGAGCCCAGGAGTTTGAGAACAGCCTTAGCAACATGGTGAAACCTTGTCTCTAGAAAAAATAAAAAATTAGCTGGGTGTGGTGATGCGTGCATGTAGTCCCAGCTACGAGGGAGGCTGAGGTGGGATGACCACCTGAGCCTGGGGAGGTTGAGGCTGCAGTGAGCCATGATCACACCACTGCACTCCAACCTGGGTGCCAAAGTGAGATCCTGTCTCAAAAAACAAACAAACAAAAAAACAGAATTGCAATTTTGGATAAGAAAGACAGCCAGATATGAGCTCATTTCATACCTTGGATGACTTAAACAAGTTTTTGGTCTGTATGTTGAGAAATGTGATTACAGGCAGGAATATCAAAGAGGAATCTAGTTGACTATTATGTCTGTATCTAGATAATAGACGTACTATCTTGGGACAAAATTGTAGTCTTCAGTACCACCAGGATTTCAGTTCTGGGTCCTTTTTCTCACTTAGGACTGCTGCTGGGTAAATGAAAGCATTTTCAAATCTTCACCTCTAATATTGTCCGCTAGGAGGACATTTCTGAATTTCTTCTCTTTGGCCTTAAAGTTACAACATCTCAAATCAGTATTGAGTCCAATACCACCTGCCAACTCTTTGCTGTGGATAAACTTAAAATTCTCAAAAGAGAATGATAGGCTTGTCAGCTTGGGGCTGTACTAGCTGAGAATGCTTTTTAGGAGAAAGCTCTCATGTGGCCAAGTTTTGCCTCCTGCCATAAGCAGGGGGAACAAACAGTGAGTGGCCTGTGTGACCTTTGTTAGAGTCAGCTACAGGCAGTTGACGGCCTCATGTGGCTTTAAGGACATGGGGGCTGACAGGGCACAAAACAAGTTCAGCCTAGAGGACAGCAAGGTAATGCTGCGTGCTCTAAGGAAGAGGGAGGTTACAGGGAAAGATACAGAAACCTGTCCTTCTTGCATTTAGAAAACTTCCCGTTTCTTGAATTTGAGAGCAATAGCACCTTGCAATTATGGAGCTTTTGTAGCCAAAGCCTTCTCATGGTCTCTTCCTCATAATATGCCTAAGAGTGTTGAGTAGAAGCAGAGATGGTGTCCCCCGTTTTACATATGGAAAAACTGAGGCCCAAAGAGACTAAGTACCTTCTCTGAGGTTCCATTCTTGCCGCAAAAGATGGTTTCATCAGGCATTTTATCAAAGGCACACAGGGCTGGCCTCCAGTTGGGGACAAATGACTGGTAGCTCATGTCACCTGAACAGCTTTCTCTTAGTTTGATGCTGGTAATGGGAATAGTGTTCACTTTTTGCCCTAGGAATCCTGGAGTTTATCAGCCTGGCTGTGGGGCTGATCAGCATCCGGGGAGTGGACTCTGGCCTGTACCTAGGAATGAATGAGCGAGGAGAACTCTATGGGTCGGTAAGTTTAAGGTTTTTTTTTTTTTTTTTTTTTTTTTTTTTTGGTCAGAGGTTATTACAACCAGTGTTTGGACAATGTAAAGCAAAAGTATAAAAATATTTATCTGGGGACCAGGCATGGTGGCTCACGCCTGTAATCCCAGCACTTTGGGAGGCTGAGGTGGGCGGATCACAAGGTGAGGAGTTCAAGACCAGCCTGGCCAACATGGTGAAACTCCATCTCTACTAAAAATAAAAAATAAAAAATTAGCCGGGCATGCTGGCATGCACCTGTAATCCCAGCTACTCAGGAGGCTGAGGCAGGAGAATCACTTGAACCTGGGAGGCAGAGGTTGCAGTGAGCCGAGATTGCGCCACTGCACTCCAGCCTGGGCAACAGAGTGAGACTCCATCTCAAAAAAAAAAGAAATTTATCTAGCACTTGAAAGCCCTTTTTTAGCTGTAAAGGAGTAGTGTCTTCTAGTTACTTCTTGGCTGCTCAGGGTCTTGCTACATAACACCTTCACTCATTTGGCCCCCACCAAAACAAGCTTTTTTTTTTTTTTTTTTTGCTTTGAGATGGAGTCTTACACTGTTGCCCAGGCTGGAGTGCAGTGGCGCAACCTCAGCTCACTGCAACCTCCACCTCCCCTGTTCAAGTGATTCTCTTGCCTCAGCCTCCCGAGTAGCTGGGACTACAGGCATGCACCACCATGCCAGGCTAATTTTTTGTATTTTTTGGTAAAGACTGGGTTTCACCATGTTGGCCAGGCTGGTCTCGAACTCCTGACCTCAAGTGATCCACCCGCCTTGGCCTCCCAAAGTGCTGGGATTACAGGCATGAGCCACTGCACCCGGCCCCAAAACATAAGCTTTTCTCTGATACATGTGATTTTGCCTTTTTCATTAGAAGGCCAGCTAGTCTGATGATAACAGTAACCTGTGCTGGTTTGGCAGTAGATGGTCAGGGTTTGGGGCATTAACCCTCCAGGGGAGTACATCTGAATTTGAATGTGTACCCAGAGGAGTAGCAGACTAGCAGGAACAAAAATAGGCAGTGGAAGAGCTGGCTTTCAAATTGAGGATTCTGAGGTTAACAACACAGTCCCTGATTTCCAGATTGCTTCAGCTGAGTCCCAAAGGCCAAATGAAACAAACAAATGAAGAATGAGGGTTCCAGGGTCTGGTGACAGCCTTAAGCCCTCAGCTAGGACTAGGCTAGCGGCAGTGCATTTTCTCTATTCTGGAAGCTAGCCTAGCACTGAGGAATGGTGAGTGATTTACTGACCTTAACCCTTCCAGGGGATCCCAACTCCTGGCTCTGGCTTTTAAGTCACATAGCATACTTTCTGGCTGCCTGCACCCCATGAAATCAGAACACATTTTTCCATGACACCTAAGAGATAGGCCTGTCCCCAGCACTCAGTATTGGCAACTCCAGCAAGTAGTATGGCGGTTGGATCAAGTGTGAGAAGGGACAGAGGCAAGAGACCCAGGAACTGCCAGCCTGAAGTAGCCAGATTGGAAGAGCTTTTCAAGGAGATCTTTTCTGAGCTTTCAGACTGACAGGCCTGAGACCCTTCATTAGGAGAGATCACAGCTCACCTCCCATGGAGCTTTATATAGATCCGAGGCCTTTGCCTGTTAGTTGACATGGTTGACTGTAATCTCAATGAATTTGAACATCATTAGCTCTAAGTAGGGAGAAAGCTCAGTGGGTACCAGCAGGGCATTGGGAGGCCATAGCAGCAATTCTCAGGCTCAGAGAGCCAGGTGATGCCATCTCCTCCAATCTCCTCCCTTCAGGAAAGATTTCAACTAAAACATTTCTGTGTAACTCATGAAAGAGAATGAAGGAGATACAGACAAGAGTGTTTTGTGCTATTTGGAAGAAAGTTACCTCCAGTAATACAGAGAGATAGGACTGGAATTTTCTAACATCAATGTGCTATTGCTATTTCAGGGTTTCTCTACTAGCAAGCTGGGATAGGAGAAATAGTCATATAATGGGTTCTGCTTTATTTTCTCACCCTCACAGAAGAAACTCACACGTGAATGTGTTTTCCGGGAACAGTTTGAAGAAAACTGGTACAACACCTATGCCTCAACCTTGTACAAACATTCGGACTCAGAGAGACAGTATTACGTGGCCCTGAACAAAGATGGCTCACCCCGGGAGGGATACAGGACTAAACGACACCAGAAATTCACTCACTTTTTACCCAGGCCTGTAGATCCTTCTAAGTTGCCCTCCATGTCCAGAGACCTCTTTCACTATAGGTAATGAACCTCTGGTGTGCCCTCTGTGACCCATGTACCCTGGGGCCACGGTTGTCTCTGCAAGCACTATATTCATAGCTTTTCAATCCTTCCTTCCTATCATTTTAGATAACAGAAAAGCACTTACTGTTGAACTCAACCCAGCTGTTCCCTTGTTGTTCAAAGTGTATATCAAGGTTGGGTTATTTTGGGGAGGGATGGGGGGCTGGGCTCGAGGGAATCTTGTATATACTTTTTTCTTTACTCATGTTCCTTCCCCTGAGGTAGCATAACAAAGAATGGGAGCCCCTGCTAAGGGCCAGGGGTGTCTTACCCCACAATTTACTCAAATACCTTGACAATGGGTATAAATGAAAGGCCAAGGAATCTGCCACAGATGCTACCTACAGAGCTTTGGAAAAGTCTCATTAAGAAAATCCTTGGGGCTACAGCCTTGCTGCAAGCCTTCCCTGCATTGGCTCTGCAGATTTCTCATCTGTCCTGACATGCAGTTTTCCTGTCATTGGAAGTGGGAGATGGGGTAGGTTGTAAGAAAATGATATTAAAATGTAAGCATGGATACTGTGCATAAGGACAAACTATTTATAAAATGTATATGCTATTTATTTTATATATTTATTTATTTCAAAATAATAATTTTATTTTTAATGAGAGATGCGATGGCTGGATTTTCATCAGAAAGAATAAGGTCCTACTGAAACAGGATAAAATGAGTTATTAAAGGCTTTTACTGACAATAAAATTTGTCTTTATATTGTAAGATTCTGTCTAATTCTATTGATTTGTACATTTAGTAGGGTTAGAAGGTTGGCCAGCTTCTTTCTCTCCAACTCATTAGAATTTTCTGATATTGGCATCACACTGCCTATGCTAGATGACTCCATCAGCCAATATGTTAGCATTATCTAGAGGCCTTATGTGAAGTCCTAGTGGTCCTTTCCAGTTCTATGACTTTAAACATACAGGTGAATCAAAGCTTCAGGAAGGCCTAGACCAACAGCTATTACTGAAGCTCCCATTTGTGCTTAGGACTATGCATAGAGAAACTCTCCTTTGGGACTTGGTTAGGGTCCAAAGCCCTAAGGTCAAAACACTAATTGGGGGCTTCTTACTTCAGATATGAAGATGAAGGGATTCAAAATAAACACAAATCGGCTGGTGCAGTAGCTCACACCTGTAATCCCAGCATTTTGGGAGGCCAAGGCAGGTGGATCACTTGAGGCCAGGAGTTCGAGAACAGCCTGGCCAACATGGTGAAACCCCGTCTCTACTAAAAATACAAAAATTAGCCAGGCATGGTGGCAGGTGCCTGTAACCCCAGCTACTCGGGAGGCTGAGGCAGGAGAATCACTTGAATCCTGGAGGCAGAGGTTGCAGTGAGCCGAGATCACACCGCTGCACTCCAGCCTGGGTGACAGAGCAAGATTCTAATTCCAAAAAATAAAATAAATAAATAAACACAAATCAACAGAGAGACTGATTTTTTTGAACCAGTCAACTTCCATTCTGGAGATTTCCCCATTCTCTTTACCCCCACCCTCACCTCCTGCCAGTGCTTCTCCTAGGGAATTTGGGAGGCTGTAAACACACTCATCTACAGAAGTAGTGCTTAGCGTACTGTATATGGTCTCTTGACCAGCAGCATCACCTGGAAACTTGTTAGAGATGCAAATTATCAGAAATTCTGGAGGCAAGGTCCAGCAGTTTACATGTTAACAAGCCTTGCAGGGGTATTCTTGCGCATACTAAAGTTTGGGAATTACTGCCCTAAAGGAATATTTTTTTTAATTATTTTTGCATCTGAATGGTTTATAAATAAAGTTTTAGGGTAACTTCAGTCCAGAAAACAAAAGTAGAGTGGCTCTAGTTGAAGTGGGGATGGCATTTCTTGGAGCTCCCTCTTCCCCAGAGCAGCCCCTGAGGTATCTTGGTTAAATATCCCTAGCCTTGCTGCTGTGCCTATGGAGTAGCCATTCTTTATTCCTTTACCTTTCTGATAAACTTGCTTTCACTTAAAAAAGTCGTTAGCCTCTTTACTGATATTTACCAAGGTAGGAGAATAGAGTTATTTGCATTTTTATAGTGAGTGTTGTCAGGAGACAACAACCAAAAGGATAAAAGTCTCATTGACATTGAGTACACAGGCACTACGAAGGCCTAGTAGGAGAGGTGTTTGGGTTTGAGATAGTTCTCCCTAGTGCTCCTGAATCATACCCTGTAGGCATCCACTATTTTTCTAATTGTATGGGTGAAACAAATAGCTTAGGTATCAGTTCACTTAAAAAACAAAACCCAAAGCTCACCCAAATCTGAGTACCCAACAGAGAAGCTGCACATACATGAAATAGCAAATAAGACTATAAAATAAAAAGTGCTAAATTGTGTGGCTTGTGTGATCATAGACTGGAATGCTCATCAGTGGAACTACTAACGTGGAGATCTGAGTGGGCTAGTGTGATTAGGGTGAGTTTCATGAAAGGGGCAATGCCTGCTGTGAAGAACAAACAGGATTTGGTGAGGAAAAGAGGCTGGCTGATCATGATGTTCATGTTGGGCCGTAGGGAAGAGACACCACCTTTAGTGGTCTCTGGCAGAAGAGTAAAAATCAGCTATGTGACATTTTTTAAATAACATTTTTTCTTTTATTCTTTTTTTTTTTTTTGAGATATAGTTTCATTCTGTCACCCAGGCTGGAGTGCAGTGGCATGATCTCAGCTCACTGCAACCTCTACCTCCTGGGTTCAAGCAATTCTCCTGCCTCAGCCTCCCAACTAGCTGGGATTATAGGCGCCTGCCACCACGCCTGGCTAATTTTTTGTATTTTTAGTAGAGATGGGGTTTCACCATGTTGGCCCGGCTGGTCTCGAACTACTGACCTCAAGTGATCCACCTGCTTCGGCCTCCCAAAGTGCAGGGATTACAGGCATGAGCCACCATGCTCAGCCTAAATCACATTTTAAATAGGAAGTACGCTTTTATTTTCAAACAAATTGTACTTATCTATGTAGAGATGTTCGGCTACCTAGAACTTTTGAAACACAGCTACAACTTCTGAGGACTTGCAAGATACATGAGCTCTGCTATAACTGCCAGGGTTACTCTAGCGGGGCACTTGCTATGAGCCTGGCAAGACCACAAGCACCATGCTGCAGGGCAGAATTTGCAAGAAAAATCACACTGTAATGAAAAGGGAAAAGACTTCAAATCCTAGAGTCAGGCCTTATTTTTTCCTCTAGGTGGAAGCAGAGAAGAGACGACTTGGAAAATGGTGTAGGGTCCCAGGACACAGGAGGAGCTCACTCTTGGTGTTGAACTTTGAGGGATAGCAACGAATGGAGCATGTGGACAGAAAATGGCAATGGGCAACTGTTCCCATTTTCAAAAGGAGGGGAAAGATAAACTCCGGAAATGGGAAATGTGAGATGGATGACCTAGTATCACTAGATCGATCAACAGCTGATTTACACCATATCCCCAAAGTGCTAGGCTAATGGATTTCATGCCGACCTAAAGGGAATAGTAAGCTCTGGGGCTCTGGTTTGAGATAAAAACATGTGCAACGACCATTTCTTATTCATGTTTACATCCCTTCCCAGAAATAGATGCCTTATTTAGCGAATATCTATCTATCTATATCTATCTATCTATCTATCTATCTATCTATCTATCATCTATCTATCTATATCTCTATCTATGATATAAACGCTGGGCTAGAGAGAGCAAATATGTTACAGAACAGAATCATCAGAAATGTTAAGTTCTTAGTACGTTTAAATAGACACAATGACAAACTAGAATATGTGTCAGGAAATATAGGTCCCTGTTACTAGAAGTGTTTCAGCAGATGCTAGACAACCACTTGACAAGGATATTGCATCATTTAGAGGGGACAGGGTGAATACTAGATAAAGATGGCAGAATGTAGCATTAGTTTACTAACCATATATTCTATGGGACCCCCAGAATTTTCCTGAGCACCAATAGTGTTCCAAGAAAGAATACATCAGACCTAAAAGTGCTATCCAACTGCTGTCCCAGACCAAGAAAGACACTGTAGACCAGAGGTTCCAAACTTGGGAGTCACAGGGTTATTAAAGGTACATGGAAAGCCTGAACTCTCTGGACCCAAACTCCCTAGAATAGTATGCAAAATTTTACGTAGATGTACATTTGGCATTTCATTGATCTTGAAAAGGCCCCACAAAATGTTAGGAGCTACTATCTTAGGAGTTTCTAAGCATTTGGCATAAGATTTGGTGGCCACTGTGATCCTATGTGAAAACCTTGACAGACTCATTAGGTGTTTTTCCTTCAAAGATGTGGATTTTATGCATGAAACTTTTGACTTCTGTTCTCTAAGAGATAGTTTCAAGTTTGGTAATGAAGAGGTGGGAGTGAAGGGAGGGGCAAGCTGGCATGACTGCACTGCTCAGTGGTTCTGAACAAAGTTCAACCCCAAGCCAGTCTGAAGAGTAGTCCCTGGCAGCACGACTCTCCTTCCCCTCCCTACACACTCTTTTCATTCCCACTGCCACTGCCAAACGTTGCTCATGCTCAAAAAATAAGCAGTGACTGAGCCCACTAGGCCCGGGCACAAGGAGCTTGTCAGAGCCATCCGGGCAGGTGCCTTCCCAAAAGGAATATAATCAAAGGCTTGAAATAATAAATATAATTTATCTTATCTTACCTTCAAGTCACTGCAGTGCTCAGCCACTGAACTCCTGGCTATGTAGTCAGAAAGACATCATGTCCAGGGCTTTAGCGGGGCTGCAGGTCACGTGGGCTCTGTCCAATTTGCCTGGAGTGCAGCCCCAGCCTTCCTCCTCCTGAAAAGGCTGGCCACTGGGGACTGCTTTCCTTCTCTCTGGAGTAGCTGGGGCTACACTGCCTTTTCTGCACTTCTCAAGCTGCACTTCACCAGCTGGCATATGTCAAGGAAGAACCAGGAAATAGGGAGAAGTGGACCAGAGAGGAGAGATCCTCTCTCTTGGAAAGATGTATTCACCATCAGCCATCTAACTCCCTAGCTCAACAGGAGGATCAGAGCATAATTTAGTTTGTCATTTCTAGAGCTCCCTTGTACGCAACAGAAAATGGAAGAACCACCAGGCCCAGTGGCTCACACCTGTAATCCCAGCACTTCAGGGGTCAGAGTTGGGAGGATTGCTTGAGCCCAGGAGTTTGAGACCGATCAGCCCTGTCAATATAGCAAGACCTCATCTACAAAAAATTTTAAAACAATTAGCTGGGCATGGTGGTGCATGCTTGTAGTCCCAGCTACTTGGGAGGCTGAGGTATGGGGATTGCTTGAGCTCAGGAGGTCAAGGCTACGGTGAGCCATAATTGCACCACTGCACTCCAGCCTAGGAGACAGAGCGAGACACTGGCTCTGAAAACAAACAAACAAAAAAAAACCTCAGAATTTTTTATTTAATAATTCATTAAAAATAACAATAAAGCTGTTACACATTAACATAAATAACATTTTTATGAAAAATAACTATATTCTCAAAAACTCAGTTAGAAGCGTGCTATTGTTATATATTTTTCCAAACCTCTTTGATGTCTGCCTTGATAGAAGACAGCTGGATTCTCATATCTGCTTTTGCATTCAATCTGTTGTTATATGTTGTTTTGCCTGAAGTATCGGGAGAAAATCTGGCCTCTAATAAATATGTAATTGCAAAAGAGAAGACTTCACGGACCCCTAGGAGTCCTTGGGCCACACTTTGAGAATCACTGATCTACAGATTCAACAAACCCTCAAGTGATTCTTATCATAAGAATAGGTAACAAACACTGCATTTGTTCATGTGAGACATAACACATCTCCTTTGTCTCAAGTTCTCAGCTCCAGTCTGTTCTGGATCAGGCACTCTTTGGTCTAGCTGTGTAGATGCACCCCTCTCATGTTTTACTAAGAAGACCCAAGCCATCCAATAGTGGCTTCCTAGCAATCATTTTGGGGGGTTCTTTAGTTTTGCTTTTCTCTTTTAAAGAAAACATTTTTTTGAATGTTTTATTGTGGTAAAATATATATAACAAAATTTGCCATTTTACCATTTTTAAGTGTACAACTCAAGGGTATTAATTGTATTTACAGTGTTGTGCAGCCTCACCACCATATTTCCAAAACTTTTTCATCGCTCCAAACCAAACCTCTGAAACCATTAAGCAATATCTCCTTATTACCCCCTCCTCCTAGTCCCTGGTGAGCTCTAATCTACTTTCTGTTTCTGTGGATTTTCCTATTCCGAACATTTCATATAAATGGAATCACACAATACACGGTCTTTTGTGACTGACTTCTTCCATGTAGCATGATGTTTTGAAGGTTCATCTACATTGTAGCATGTAGTGATACTGCATTCCTTTTTATGGCTGAATAGTATTCCATTGTATTAATATACCACATTTCATTTCATTTATCAGTTGCTAGACATTTGGGTTGTTTCCACTTTTCAGGTATTATGAATAATGCTATGAACATTCATGTACAAGTTTATATAAATACATGTTTTCATATCTCCTGGGTATATATCTAGCAGTGGAATTGCTGGGTTATACGCTACCTCTATGGTCAACCAGATGAGGATCTGCTAACAGTTTTTCAAAGAGGCTGCACCATTTTGCATTCCCACCAATAATATATGGTACTGCAGTCTTGACCTCTCGGGCTCTGGTGATCCTCCCATCTCAGCCTCCCCAGTAGCTGGGACTACAGGCACACACCACCTCACTAGCAAATGTTTTGTATTTTTTGTAGAGACAGGATCTCATCATGTGGCCCAGGCTGGTCTTGAACTCCTGGGCCCAAGTGATCCTCCTGCCTTGGCCTCCCAAAGTGCTGGGATTACAGATGTGAGCCACTGCACCCAGCCTCTCCTGGCTTTTGAAATATACAATAGGCCGGGTGTGGTGCCTCACGCTTTTAATCCAAGCACTTTGGGAGGCTGAGGCAGGCGGATCATTTGAGGTCAGGAGTTTGAGACCAGCCTGGCCAACATGGTGAAACCCCATCTCCACTAAAAATACAAAAAATTAGCCGGCCATTGTGGTACATGCCTGTAATCCCAGCTACTCAGGAGACTGAGGCAGGAGAATCACTTGAACCTGGGAGGTGGAGGTTGCAGTGAGCCAAGATCACACCACTGCACCACTCCAGCCTGGGCAACAGAGCGAGACTCTGTCTCAAAAAAAAAAAAAAAAAGAAAGAAATATGCAATATATTACTATTGCCTATAGCCACCCTACTGTGCAATAAATCTCAAAATTTATTCCTCCTGTCTAACTGAAACTTTGTATCCTTTGACCAATAACTCCCTATTCCTTCCCTCCAGACCCTTTCTCTACCCCTCAGCCTCTGGTAAACACTATTCCATTCTCTACTTCTATGAGTTAACTCTTTTCGATTCCACATGTGAGATCATGCTGTATTTGTCTTTCTGTGTCTGCTTATTTCATGTGGTGTAATATCTTCCACTGTTACAAATGTTGGAATTTCCTTCTTTTGTATGGCTGAATAGTATTGCATTACGTAGATATACCAAATTTTCTTTATTCATTCATCTGCTGATGGACACTTAGGTTGATATATCTTGTCTATTGTGAAATATGCTGCAATGAAGATGAGAGTGCAGATATTCCTTTAATATACTGATTTCAATTCCTTTGGATATATATCCAGAAGTGGGGTTGCCAGATCATATGATATTTCTATTTTTAGTTTTTTGAGGAACCTCTATATTGTCTTCCATTATGAAGTATTCATTTGCATTGCCACCAACACTGTGCAAGGGTTCCCTTTTCTTCACATCCTCACCAATACTCATTGTCTTTCCTCTTTTTGATAAAATTTGTTATGGCCATAATCAAAAAATAATGGGTGTTGGTGTGGATGTGGTGAAAAGGGAAAACTATTACACTGCTGGTGGGAATGTAGACTGGTACAACCACTGTGGAAAATAGTTTGGAGATTCCTTAAAGAACTAAAAATAGATCTACCATTTGATCCAGCAATCCCACTCCTGGGTATTTACCCAGAGGAAAATAAGTCATCCATATGAAAAAGATACTTGCACATGCATGTTTATAGCAGCACAATTCGCAATTGCAAAAATATGGAACCAGCCCAAATGCCCATCAATCAATGAGTGGATAAAGAAAATGTGATATATATATACACCATGGAACACTACTCAGCCATAAAAATGAATGAAATAATGGCATTTGCAGCAACTTGAATGGAATTTGGAGACCATTATTCTAAGTGAAGTAACTCAGGAATGGAAAACCAAACATCATATGTTCTCACTCATAAGTGGGAGCTAAGCTATGAGGACACAAAGGCATAAGAATAATACCATGGACTTTGGGGACTGAGGGGAAAGGGTGGGAGGGGGAAGAGGGTTAAAAGACTACACATTGGGTACAGTGTACACTGCTCTGGTAATGGATGCACAAAATCTCAGAAATCACCACTAAAGAACTTACTAATATAACTAAACACCAAATGTTCCCCAAAAAGCTATTGAAATTAAAAATAAAAGCCATTCTAACAGGTGTGAGATGATAGCTCATGGTGATTTTAATTTGCATTTCCCTATGATTAGTGATACTAAACAATTTTTCATGAGCCGGTTGGCTATTTGTATGTCTTCCTTTAAGAAATACCTGTACAGGGCCGGGCACAGTGGCTCATTCCTGTAATCCCAGCACTTTGGGAGGCTGAGGCAAGTGGATCACAAGGTCAGGAGATCGAGACCATCCTGGCTAACACGGTGAAACCCTGTCTCTACTAAAAATACAAAAAATTAGCAGGGCGTGGTGGCAGGCGCCTGTAGTCCCAGCTACTCGGGGGGGCTGAGGCAGGAGAATGGCGTGAACCCAGGAGGCGGAGCTTGCAGTGAGCGGAGATAGCGCCACTGCACTCCAGCCTGGGCAACAGAGCGAGACTTCCGTCTCAAAAAAAAAAAAAGAAAGAAAGAAAGAAATACCTATTCAGAGGCTGGGCGCAGTGGCTCACGGCTGTAATCACAGCATTTTGGGAGGCTGAGACAGGCAGATCACGAGCTCAGGAGACAGAGACCATCCTGGCTAACATGGTGAAACCCCATCTCTACTAAAAATACAAAAAATTAGCCAGGCGTGGTGGTGGGTGCCTGTAGTCCCAGCTACCTGGGAGGCTGAGGCAGGAGAATGGCATGAACCCGGGGGAGGTGGAGCTTGCAGCAAGCCGAGATCACGCCACTGCACTCCAGACTGGGTGACAGAGCAAGACTCCATCTCAAAAAAAAAAAAAACAAAAAACCTGTTCAGGTCCTTTGCCCATTTTTATAATTTAAAAAAATAATTTCACCTTTTATTTTAGATCCTGGGGGTGCATGTGCAGGTCTGTCACCTAGGAACACTACAGGATGCTAAGGTTTGGGTTATAGTTGATCCCATCACCCACTTTACCCATCTTTTAATCAGGTTGTTTGTTTTCTTGCTATTGAGTTTTCTATATATTTTGTATATTAATCCTTTATCAGATTCTCCCACTCCATGGTTGTCTCTTTGTTAATTGTTTCCTTTGTTGTGCAAAAACCTTTAAGTTTGATGTAATTCCCTTTGCCTATTTTTTCTCTTGCTGCCTGTGTTTTCAGGATCATATAAAAAAAAAAAATCATTGCTCAGACCAGTATTGTTGAATGTTTCCCTTATGTTTTCTTCTAGTAGTTTTATAGTTTCAGGTCTTATATTTAAGTCTTCAAATAATTTCGGGTTGGTTTTTGTACATGGGGTGAAATAAGGATCAAATTTCATTCTTCTGCATGTGGCTATTCAATTTTCCCAACATCATTTACTTTTAATTTCCTCATTGTGTGTCCTTGGCACCTTTGTTGAAAAGCAATTGACTATAAATTCATTAGTTTATTTCTGGGCTTTCTATCCTGTTCCGTTGGTTGATGTGTCTTTTTTATGCCAGTACCATGCTGTTTTAATCACCATCACCTTATAATATAGTTTGAAATCAGGGAGTGTTATGCCTCCAACTTTGTTCATTTTGCTCAAGATTGTTTTGGTTTTTGGGGGTATTTTGTGGTTCCATATGAATTTAAGGATTTTTTTTTCTATTTCTGTGAAAACTAATATTGGAATTTTGATAGTGGTTGCATTGAATCTGTCTATTGCTTTGGGTAGTATGGCCATTTTAAGAATATTAATTCTTCTGATCCATGAACATGGGATACATTTTTATTTATTCATATTTTCTTCTATTTATTTCACTAGTTTTTTATACTTTGTAGTATGCAATTCTATTACCTCCTTAGTTAAATTTACTCCTAAGCATTTTTACTGTTGTTGCTGCTATTGTAAATGGGATTGCTTTCTTAATTTTTGTATCCTGCAACTTTACTAAATTTAGTTATCAGTTCTAACAGTTTTTTGGTGGAGCCCTTAAGGTTTTCTACATGTAAATCATGTAGGCCAGGCATGGTAGCTTATGCCTGTAATCCTAGCACTTTGGGAAACCAAGGTGGGAGGATCACAAGAGCCTCAGATTTCAAGATCAGCCTGGGCAACATAGGAAGACTCCATCTTTACAAAAAAAATAAAAATAAAAATAGGAGAACCAGAGCAAGATGGCAGAATAGAAGGCTCCACTGATGGTCCCCCACCCACAAGGACGCCAATTTAACAACTATCTACACAGAAAAGACACCTTTATAAGAACCAAAAGTTAGGTGAACACTCATAGTACCTGCTTTTAACTTCATATTGCTGAAAGAGGCACAGAAGAAGTATTAAAAAAAAAAGTCCTGAATCACCCCTGGCAATGGCAGCATGGTACAGAGTGTCCCTGGGTGCTGGGGGAGGGATAACACAGTATTGTGAAGCAGTTAACTCAATGCTGTTCTGTTAGAGCAGAAAGGAAAACTAAACCAAACTCAGCCGATGACCACCCATGAAGGGAGTATTTGAATCTGCCCTAGCCAGAGGGGACTTGCTGATCCCAGCAGTCAGAACTTGAGTTCCTGTAGACCTTGCCACCAAGGGCTGCAATGTTCTGTATCTCCAAGTAAACTTGAAAGGCAGTCTAGGCCATAAGGACTGCAACTCTTAGGCGAGTCCTAGTATTGAACTAGGCCCAGAAACAGTGGACTTTTGGGGGTGCAGGGGCATGTGACATACTGAGATACCAGCTGGAGCAGCCAAGGGAGTGCTGGCATCAACCCTGCCTTAACCACAGGCTGCACAGCTCATGGCTCCAAAAGAGACCTCTTCCTTCTGCTTGAAGAGAGGAGACAGAAGAATGGGAAGGACTTTGTCTTGCATCTTGGATACCAGCTCAGCCACAGCAGGCTAGGGCACTGGCCAGTGTTGTGAGGCCTCTCTTCCAGGCCCTACCTCCAAGATAACATTTCTAGACACACCCTGGCCAGAAATGAACCTGCTGACTTGAAAGAAAGGACTCAGTCCTGTCAGCCTTCATCACCTGTTAACTGAAGAGCCCTTGAGCCCTGAATAACCAGAAGTGATACCCAGGTACTACATTGAGGGCCTTCAATGAGCCTGTGAAACTCGCTGGATTCAGGTGAGACTCAGCACATTACCAGCTGTGGTGGCTACTAGGCAAAACCCCTTCTGCTTGAGAAAAGCAGAAGGAAAAGTAAAGGGGACTTTGTGTTGCAACTTAGGTACCAACCATCATGGCCACAGGGGGATAGAGCACCAAGTGGGTTCCTGGGGTCACAAATTCTGTGACTTGACTCTTGGATGGCATTTCTGGACCTGACCTGGACCAAAGAGGAGCCCATTTCCCTGAAGGGTGAGTCCCAGGCCAAGCAGCATTTACCACAAGCTGACTTAAGAGGTATTGGGCATTAAGGGAACATTTGCAGTAGTCTGGCAGTTCTCATGGTCTGGGGTGGTGGTGGCTATAAGGTGAGTGCTCCTCTGCCTTTGGAAAGGTGAGGCAAGACTGAGAAAGACTGCATCTTGTGGCATGATTGCCAGCTCAGCCACAGTACACTAGAACACCAGGTAGAGGTCTAAGGTTTTGACTCTATTCCCTAATTCCTGGACAGCACCTCTGGACCAACCCAGGGCCTGGGAGACCTCGCCACCCTGACGGGAAGGATGCAGGCCTAGCAGGCTTTGCCCCTGGGCTGAGCGTAGAGCCCCAGGGCCTAGAGAGAACATAGGCAGTAGCTAGGGAGTAGTTACAGCAGGCTTTGGGTGAGGCCCAGTGCTGTGCTGGCTTTAGGTCTAACCCAGCACAGTTATAGTAGTGGTGGCCACAGGGATGCTTATGTCATTCCACCCCCACCTTTAGGTGGCTCAGAACAAAAAGAGAGAGACTCTGATTGTTTGGGAGAGAGTAAGAAAAGAGAACAGGAGTCTCTGCCTGGTAATCCAGAGAGTTCTTCTGGATCTTGTCCAAGACCATCAAGGCAGTACCTCTATGAGTCTGCAAGAACCACAGTGTTACTGGGCTTGGGGTGCCCCCTAAAGCAGATACAGCTGAGGTTACAATACTCAAGTCCTTTCAAATATCTAAAAAGCCCTCCGAAGATGAAGGGGTACAAATAAACCCAGACAGTGAAGACTACAATAAATACTTAATTCTTCAATGGCCAGACACCAACAAATATCTACAGGCATCAACACCATCCAGGAAAACATGACCTCACCAAATAAACTAAACAAGCCACCAGGGATCAACCCTGGAGAAATAGAGATACATGATCTTTCAGACAGAGAATACAAAATAGCTGTGTTCAGGAAACTCAAAGAAATTCAAGGTAACACAGAGAAGGAATTCAGAATTCTATCAGATAAATTTAACAAAGAGATTATAATAAGTAAAAAGACTCAATCAGAAATGCCTGAGTGAAAAATGCAATAGGCGTACTAAAAAATGCATCAGAGTCCTTTAATAGTGGAACTGATCAAGTAGAAGACAGAATTAGTGAGCCTGAAGACAGTTTATTTGAAATACACAGTCAAAGGAGACAAAAAAAGAAGAATAAATGATGAAACACAGCAACAGGATCTAGAAAATGGCCTCAAATGGGCAAATCTAAGAATTATTGGCCTTAAACAGGAGGTAGAGAAAGAGATAGGGGTAGAAAGTTTATTCAAAGGGATAATAACAGAGAACTTCCCAAACCTAGAGAAAGATAGCAATATTCAAGGTAAAGATTACAGAACACCAAGCAGATTTAACCCAAAGAGTACTACCTCAAGGCACTTAATAATCAAACTCCCAAAGGTCAAGGATAAAGAAAGGATCCTAAAAGTGGCAAGAGAAAAGAAGCGAATAACATACAATGGAGCTCCAATAATAGTAAGTACACAGAAAAACAATATTGTAACACTGTAACAGTGGTGTGCAAACTACTCTTAGCCTAAATATAAAGACTAAACAATAAACCAATCAAATATTATAACTAGAACAACTTTTCAAGATATAGTCAGTACAATAATAATATATAAATAGAAACAATGAGAAGTTAAAATGCAGAAAAATTAAGTTAAGGAATAGAGTCTATTAGTTTTATTTTTGCTTGTTTGTTTATGCAAACAGCGTTAAAGTTGTTATCAGGTTAAAATAATGAGGCTTACAAATAAGATAGTATTTGTAAGCCTCACGGTAACCTTAAATTAAAAAATATACAACGGATACACAAAAAATAAAAAGCAAGAAACTAAAACATATCACCAGAGAAAATCACTTCCGATAAAAGAAGAGAGGAAGAAAAGACAGAAGGAAGAGAAGACCAGAAAAAACAACCAGAACACAAATAACAAAATGGCAGGAGTAAGACCTTACGTATCAATAATAATATTGAATGTAATGCATGTAATGAATATAATGTAATGTAATGAATGTAATATTGAATGTAAATGGACTCAACTCTCCCATGAAAAGACATAGAGTGGCTGAATGGATGAAAAAACCAGAGCCATTGATCTGTTGCCTACAAGAAACACACTTCACCTATAAATACAGATATAGACTGAAAATAAAGGGATGGAAAAATATATTCCATGCTAATGGAAACCAAAAAAGAGCTTGAGTAGCTCTACTTGTATTAGACAAAATAAAGTTCAAGACAAAAACTATGGCAGTTCCAAGATGGCCAAATAGTAACAGCTCCAGTCTACAGCTCCCAGCATGAGCAACGCAGAAGATGGGTGATTTCTGCATTTCCAACTCAGGTACTGGGTTCATCTCACTGGGGATTGTCAGACAGTGGGTGCAAGACAGTGGGTACAGCGCACTGAGCATGAGCCGAAGCAGGGAGAGACATCACCTCACCCAGGAAATGCAATGGGTCAGGGAATTCCCTTTCCTAGCCAAGAAAAGCTGTGACAGAAGGCACCTGGAAAATCGGGTCACTCCCACCCTAATACTACGCTCTTCCAATGGTCTTAGCAAACGGCACACTAGGAGATTATATCCCACGCCTGGCTCAGAGGGTGTCATGCCCACAGAGCCTCACTCATTGCTAGCACAGCAGTCTGAGATCGAACTGCAAGGCGGCAGTGAGGCTGGGGGAGGGGCGCCCACCATTGCTGAGAATTGAGTAGGTAAACAAAGCGGCCAGGAAGCTTGAACTGGGTGGAGCCCACTGCAGCTCAAGGAGGCCTGCCTGCCTCTGTAGACTTCACCTCTGGGGGCAGGGTATAGCCGAATAAAAGGCAGCAGAAACCTGTGCAGATTTAAATGTCCCTGTCTGACAGCTTTGAAGAGAGTAGTGGTTCTCCCAGCACAGAGTTTGAGATCCGAGAACAGAGAGACTGCCTCCTCAAGTGGGTCCCTGACCCCCGAGTAGCCTAACTGGGAGGCACTCCCCAGTAGGGGCAGACTGACACCTCACACGGCCGGGTACCTCTCTGAGATGAAACCTCCAGAGGAACGATCAGGCAGCAACATTTGCTGTTCAGCAATATTCGCTGTTCTGCAGCCTCTGCTGCTGATACCCAGGCAAACAGGGTCTGGAGTGGACCTCCAGCAAACTCCAACAGACCTGCAGCTGAGGGTCCTCACTGTCAGAAGGAAAATTACAAACAGAAAGGACATCCACACCAAAACCCCATCTGTACGTCACCATCATCAAAGACCAAAGGTAGATAAAACCAAAAAGATGGGGAAGAAACAGAGCAGAAAAAGTGAAAATTCTACAAATCAGAGCACCTCTCCTTGTCCAAAGGAACACAGCTCCTCACCAGCAATGGAACAAAACTGGATGGAGAATGACTTTGACGAGCTGAGAGAAGAAGCCTTCAGACGATCAAACTTCTCTGAGCTAAAGGAAGAAGGTCAAAACCATCGCAAAGAAGTTAAAAACCTTGAAAAAAGATTAGATGAATGGCTAACTAGAATAACCAATGCAGAGAAGTCCTTAAAGGACCTGATGGAGCTGAAAACCATGGCACAAGAACTACATGACACATGCACAAGCTTCAGTAGCCAATTCGATCAACTGGAGGAAAAGGTATCAGTGATTGAAAATCAAAAGAATGAAATGAAGCGAGAAAAGAAGTTTAGAGAAAAAAGAATAAAAAGAAATGAACAAAGCCTCCAAGAAATATGGGACTATGTGAAAAGACCAAATCTATGTCTGATTGGTATACCTCAAAGTGATGGGGAGAGTGGAACCAAGTTGGAAAACACTCTGCAGGATACTATACAGGAGAACTTCCCCAATCTATCAAGGCAGGGCAACATTCAAATTCAGGAAATACAGAGAATGCTACAAAGATACTCCTCGAGAAGAGCAACTCCCAGACACATAATTGTCAGATTCACCAAAGTTGAAATGCAGGAAAAAATGTTAAGGGCAGCCAGAGAGAAAGGTCGGGTTACCCACAAAGGGAGGCCCATCAGACTAACAGCTGATCTCTCAGCAGAAACTCTACAAGCCAGAAGACAGTGGGGGCCAATATTCAACATTCCTAAAGAAAAGAACTTTCAACCCAGAATTTCATATCCAACCAAACTAAGCTTCATAAGTGAAGGAGAAATAAAATCCTTTACAGGAAAGCAAATGTGGAGAGATTTTGTCACCACCAGGCCTGCCCTAAAAGAGGTCCTGAAGGAAGCACTAAACATGGAAAGGAACAACTGGTACCAGCCACTGCAAAAACATCCCAAATTGTAAAGATCATCAAGGCTAGGAAGAAACTGCATCAACTAACGAGCAAAATAACCAGCTAACATCAGAATGACAGGATCAAATTCACACATAACAATATTAACCTTAAATGTAAATGGGCTAAATGTTCCAATTAAAAGACACAGACTGGCAAATTGGAATAAGAGTCAAGACCCATCAGTATGCTGTATTCAGGAAACCCATCTCACGTGCAGAGACACACATAGGCTCAAAATAAAGGGATGGAGGAAGATCTACCAAGCAAATGGAAAACAAAAAAAGGCAGGGGTTGCAAATCTAGTCTCTGATAAAACAGACTTTAAACCAACAAAGATCAAAAGAGACAAAGGCCATTACATAATGGTAAAGGGATCGGTTAAACAAGAAGAGCTAACTATCCTAAATATATATGCACCCAATACAGCAGCACCCAGATTCATAAAGCAAGTCCTTAGAAACCTACAAAGAGACTTAGACTCCCACACATTAATAATGGGAGACTTTAACACCCCACTGTCAACATTAGACAGATCAATGAGACAGAAAGGTAACAAGGATATCCAGGAATTGAACTCAGCTCTGCACCAAGTGGATCTAGTAGATATCTACAGAACTCTCCACCCCAAATCAACAGAATGTACATTCTTCGCAGCACCACACAGCACTTATTCCAAAATTGACCACATAGTTGGAAGTAAAGCACTCCTCAGCAAATGTAAAAGAACAGAAATTATAACAAACTGTCTCTCAGACCATAGTGCAGTCAAACTAGAACTCAGGATTAAGAAACTCACTCAAAGCTGCTCAAGTACACGGAAACTGAAAAACCTGCTCCTGAATGACTACTGGGTACATAACGAAATGAAGGCAGAAATAAAGATGTTCTTTGAAACCAACGAGAACAAACAGACCACATACCAGAATCTCTGAGACACATTTAAAGCAGTGTGTAGAGGGAAAGTTATAGCACTAAATGCCCACAAGAGAAAGCAGGAAAGATCTAAAATTGACACCCTAACATCACAATTAAAAGAACTAGAGAAACAAAAGCAAACACATTCAAAAGCTAGCAGAAGACATGAAATAACTAAGATCAGAACAGAACTGAAGGAAATAGAGACACAAAAAACCCTTCAAAAAATCAGTGAATCCAGGAGCTGCTTTTTTCAAAAGATCAAGAAAATTGATAGACTGCTAGCAAGACTAATAAAGAAGAAAAGAGAGAAGAATCAAATAGATGCAATAAAAAATGATAAAGGGGATATCACCACCAATCCCACAGAAATGCAAACTACCATCAGAGAATACTATAAACACCTCTATGCAAATAAACTAGAAAATCTAGAAGAAATGGATAAATTCCTTGACACATACACCCTCCCAATACTAAACCATGAAGAAGTTGAATCTCTGAATACATCAATAACAGGCTCTGAAATTGAGGCAATAATTAATAGCTTACCAACCAAAAAAAGTCCAGGACCAGATGGATTCACAGCCAAATTCTACCAGAGGTACAAGGAGGAGCTGGTACCATTCCTTCTGAAACTATTCCAATCAGTAGAAAAAGAGGGAATCCTCCCTAACTCATTTTATGAGGCCAGCATCATTCTGATACCAAAGCCTGGCAGAGACACAACAAAAAAAGAGAATTTTAGACCAATATCCCTGATGAACATCAATGCAAAAATCCTCAATAAAATACTGGCAAACCGAATCCAGCAGCACATCAAAAAGCTTATCCACCATGATCAAGTGGGCTTCATCCCTGGGATGCAAGGCTGGTTCAACATATGCAAATCAATAAACATAATCCAGCATATAAACAGAATCAACGACAAAAACCACATGATTATCTCAATAGATGCAGAAAAGGCCTTTGACAAAATTCAACAACCTTCATGCTAAAAACCCTCAATAAATTAGGTACTGATGGGACGTATTTCAAAATAATAACAACTATTTATGACAAACCCACAGCCAAGATCATGCTGAATGGGCAAAAACTGGAAGTATTCCCTTTGAAAACTGGCACAAGACAGGGATGCCCTCTCTCACCACTCCTATTCAACATAGTGTTGGAAGTTCTGATCAGGGCAATCAGGCAGGAGAAGGAAATAAAGGGTATTCAATTAGGAAAAGAGGAAGTCAAATTGTCCCTGTTTGCAGATGACATGACTGTATATCAAGAAAATCCCATCGTCTCAGCCCAAAATCTCCTTAAGCTGATAGGCAACTTCAGCAAAGTCTCAGGATACAAAATCAATGTGCAAAAATCACAAGCATTCTTATACACCAATAACAGACAAACAGAGAGCCAAATCATGAGTGAACTCCCATTCACAATTGCTTCAAAGAGAATAAAATACCTAGGAATCCAACTTACAAGGGATGTGAAGGACCTCTTCAAGGAGAACTACAAACCACTGCTCAAGGAAATCAAAGAGGATACAAACAAATGGAAGAACATTCCATGCTCATGGGTAGGAAGAATCAATATCGTGAAAATGGCCATACTGCCCAAGGTAATTTATAAATTCAGTGCCATCCCCATCAAGCTACCAATGACTTTCTTCACAGAATTGGAAAAATCTACTTTAAAGTTCATATGGAACCAAAAAAGACCCCGCATTGCCAAGTCAATCCTAAGCCAAAAGAACAAAGCTGGAGGCATCACGCTACCTGACTTCAAACTATACTACAAGGCTACAGTAACCAAAACAGCATGGTACTGGTACAAAAACAGAGATATAGACCAATGGAACAGAACAGAGCCCTCAGAAATAATGCTGCATATCTACAACCATCTGATCTTTGACAAACCTGACAAAAACAAGAAATGGGGAAAGGATTCCCTTTTTAATAAATGGTGCTGGGAAAACTGGCTAGCCATATGGAGAAAGCTGAAACTGGATCCCTTCCTTACAAATTATACAAAAATTAATTCAAGATGGATTAAAGACTTAAACGTTAGACCTAAAGCCATAAAAACCCTAGAAGAAAACCTAGGCATTACCATTCAGGACATACGCATGGACAAGGACTTCATGTCTAAAACACCAAAAGCAATGGCAACAAAGGCCAAAATTGACAAATGGGATCTAATTCAACTAAAGAGCTTCTGCACAGCAAAAGAAACTACCATCAGAGTGAACAGGCAACCTACAGAATGGGAGAAAATTTTTGCAATCTACTCATCTGACAAAGGGCTAATATCCAGAATCTACAATGAACTCAAATTTACAAGAAAAAAACAAAAAACCCCATCAAAAAGTGGGCGAGGGATATGAACAGACACTTCTCAAAAGAAGACATTTATGCAGCCAACAGACACATGAAAAAATGCTCATCATCACTGGCCATCAGACAAACGCAAATCAAAACCACAATGAGATACCATCTCACACCAGTTAGAATGGCAATCATTAAAAAGTCAGGAAACAACAGGTGCTGGAGAGGATGTGGAGAAATAGGAACACTTTTACAATGTTTGTGGCACTGTAAACTAGTTCAACCATTGTGGAAGACAGTGTGGTGATTCCTCAGGGATCTAGAACTAGAAATACCATTTGACCCAGCCATCCCATTACTGGGTATATACCCAAAGGATTATAAATCATGCTGCTATAAAGACACATGCACACGTATGTTTATTGCGGCACTATTCACAATAGCAAAGACTTGGAACCAACCCAAATGTCCAACAATGATAGACTGGATTAAGAAAATGTGGCACATATACCCCATGGAATACTATGCAGCCATAAAAAATGATGAGTTCATGTCCTTTGCAGGGACATGGATGAAGCTGGAAAGCATCATTCTCAGCAAACTATCGCAAGGATAAAAAACCAAACACCGCATGTTCTCACTCATAGGTGGGAATTGAACAATGAGAACACTTGGACACAGGAAGGGGAACATCACACACTGGGGCCTGTTGTTGGGTAGGGGGAGGGGGGAGGGATAGCATTAGGAGATATACCTAATGTAAAGGACGAGTTAATGGGTGCAGCACACCAACATGGCACACGTATACATATGTAAATAACCTGCACATTGTGCACGTGTACCCTAGAACTTAAAGTATAATTTAAAAAATATATGAAAAAAAGACAAAAACTATAAGAAGAGACAAGGAAGTTCACTATATAATGATAAATGGGTCAATTCAGCAAGAGGATATAATAATTTTAAATATATAGGCACCCAACACTTGAGCACCCAGATATATAAAGGAAATATTATTAGAGTAGAGAGAGAGATAGGCCCCAATGCAATAATATCTGGAGACTTTAAAACCCCATTTTCAGCATCAGACAGGTCTTCCAGACATAAAATCAACAAAGGAACATTGGACTTAACCTGCACTATAGACCAAATAGATCTAATAGTTATTTATGGAACATTTCTTCCAATGGCTTCAGAATACACATTCTTTTCCTCAGCACATGGATCTTTCTCAAGGATAGACCACATGTTAGGTCACAAAACAAGCCTTAAGAGATTCAAAAGAAAAACTGTAATAATATCAAGAATTTTCTCTGACCACGATGAAATAAAATTAGAAATCAATAACAAGTAGAATTTTGGAAACTACATAAATACATGGAATTTAAACAATATGCTCCTGAATGGCCAATGGGCCAATGAAGAAATTAAGAAGGAAATTGAAAAATTTATTGAAACAAATAATGGAAACACAATGTACAAAAACCTATGAGATATAGCAAAAGCAGTACTCAGAGGAAAGTTTATAGCTATCAGTGCCTACATCAAAAAAGAGGAAGGCATTCAGGCCAGGTGTGGTGGCTCACACCTGTAATCCCAGCACTTTGGGAGGCCGAGGTGGACAGATTACCTTAGGTCAAGAGTTCAAGACCAGCCTGGCCAATATGGTGAAACCCCGTCTCTACTAAAAAATAAAAAATTAGCCAGACATGGTGGCAGGCACCTGAAATCCCAGCTACTCAGAAGGATGAGGCAGGAGAATTGCTTGAACCTGGGAGGCAGAGGTTGCAGTGAGCCGAGTTCGTTCCACTTTACTCCAGCATGGGTGACAGAGTGAGACTCCGTCTCAAAACAAAAAAAAATAGAGAAAGAGGAAAGCCTTCAATTAAACATCTAAAGATGCATCTTAAAGAGCTAGAAAAGCCACAATCTGCCTCCGGGTTCAAGCTATTCTTATGCATCAGCACTGAGTAGCTGGGACTACAGGCAGGCGTCACCACGCCCAGCTAATTTTTGTATTTTTTTAGTAGAGACAGGGTTTCGCCAGGTTGGCCAGGCTGGTCTTGAAATTCTGGCCTCAGGTGATCCGCCTGCCTCGGCCTCCCAAACTGATGGGATTACAGGCACGAGCCACTGCTCCCAGCCAAAAAAAATTTCTTTAAAGCAGTCTTTAAGACTCATTCTTCCAGACGGGCGTGGTGGTTCATGCCTGTAATCCCAGCACTTTGGGAGGCCGAGGTGGGTGGATCACCTTAGGTCAGGAGTTCGAGACCAGCTTGACCAACATGGAGAAACCCCATCTCTACTAAAAATACAAAATTAGCCTGGTGTGGTGGCGCATGCCTGTAATCCCAGCTACTCGGGAGGCTGAGGCAGGAGAATAGCTTGAACCTGGGAGGCGGAGGTTGCAGTGAGCCGAGATTGCACCATTGCACTCCAGCCTGGGCAACAAGAGCGAAACTCCGTCTCAGAAAACAAAACAAACAAACAAAAAAAAAAAAACCTGATTCTTCCTTTCTACTCTCAGAGAGCCTTCCTGCAGCTCTGAAAGCTATGTTCTTTCATAGCGCCCTTGATTTCAACTCCTCTACAACAGCCCTTGTATTTTCAACATGTTCAGGTTTATCTGGTTCTTGAAGAGCTTCCTAAATATACAATTAAGGGATGAATCCATCAAGGAAAATATCAAAAAGTTTGTAAACTCCTAAACATAAAAAAGCAAACTTAAAAGATTTTAAAACCTGATTAAGTATTTGCCACAAAAGAAAAACGTTATTACCTTTAACTAAATATAGGAATCATATAAATATAATGAAACCAGCAAGCTTCCAATACAATATGGGCAATGAACGTAAACAGACAACTCACAAAAGAAGATATATAACTTGTAAAAAACATAAGCAACATATTTCCACCTTTAAAGTAATTAATAAAATCCAAAATTATGAAATACATTTTCATCAAGTTAACAAAGTTTTTTTAAAAAATAATAATACTCAAAACCAATGAGGGGCTGGGCATAGTCTCTCATACCTATAATCCCAGTGCTTTGGGAGGTTGAGGAGGGAGGATCACTTGAGACCAGGGATTTGAGAAGAGCCTGGGCAATATAGTGAGACTCCCATCTCTACAAAAAATTTAAAAACTATCTGAGCATGGTTGTGTGCACCTGTCGTCCCAGCTACTCAGGAGGCTGAAGTGAAAGGATCACTTGAGGCCAAGAGTCCAAGGCTGCAGTGAGCTATGGTCATGCCAGTGCACCCTAGCCTGGGCAAAAGAGTGAGACCTTGTTTCTAAACAACAATAACAACAACAACCAAAAAAACTATTGAATCCACTTCTAAGGATGTATTCATAAGGATGCTCATTGTAGCATTATCTATAAAAGCAAAAAGAAAACACCTAACTTTCAACAATAGAAAAATAGCTATAAGTTATGGTACCTCACTATAATCAATTAATATGCAGCCAACTTAAAATGAGGTTGATAAATATCTTAACCAACGAATTCTCTCAGAAAAGCAGAATATGGAATATTACACTATGGTTTTAATTACTCAAGTATACCACACACACAGACATGCATCACTTAACAATGCACTATGTTCTGAGAAATGCATCATTAAGCAATTTTGTCATTGTGTGAACATCATAGAATGTACTTACACAAACCTAAATAGTATATCCTAGTACACACCTAGGCTATATGGTATAGCCTATTGTCCCTAGGCTACAAATCTGTACAGCATGTTACTGTCCTGAATACTGTAGGCAATTGGAACACAATGGTATTTGTGTATCTAAACATAGCAAAGGCACAGTAAAAATGTGATACAAAAGATTTTTAAAACGGTTCACTTGTATAGGGCACTTACCATAAATGGAGCTTGCAGGCACAGAAATTGCTCTGGGAGAGTCAATGAATGAATGGTGAATGAATGTGAGGGCCAAAGATATTACTGTACACTACTGTAGACTTTATAAACACTGTATACATAGGCTACATTAAATTTATAAAAATTATTTTCCTTTGCCTTTGAAGAAATAATTTTGACTGAGATGAAAATATATACATTTTTTCTTTCTCCAATAATAAAATTAACATACCATAACTTTTTTACTTCATACACTTTTTAGTTTTTTTTAACTTTTTTACTCTTTTGTAATAACACTTAGCTTTAAACACAAACACATTGTATAGCTATACAAAAACATTTTCTTTATATCCTTATCCTATAAGCTTTTTCCTCTTTTTTAATTTGTTTTACTTTTTAAACACTTTTGTTAGAAATGAAGACATAGGCGGGGCGTGGTGGCTCACGCTTATGATCCCAGCACTTTGGGAGGCCAAGGCGGGCGGATCACAAGATCAGGAGTTCGAGACCAGCCTGGCCAACACAGTGAAACCTTGTCTCTACTAAAAATACAAAAATTAGCTGGGCGTAGTGGTGGGCACCTGTAATCCCAGCTACTCAGGAGGCTGAGGCAGGAGAATCGCTTGAACCTGGGAGGCGGAGGTTGCAGTGAGCCAAGATCGTGCCACTGCACTCCAGCCTGGGCAACAGAGCTAGACTCCATCTCAAAAAAAAAAAAATGAAGACATAAACACATTCATTAACCTAGGCCTACAGAGGGTCGGGACCATCAATATCACTGTCTTCCTCCATATTTTGTCCTACTAGAAGGTCTTCGAGGGCAATAACACGCATGGAGCTGTCATCTACTATGACAACAATGCCTTCTTCCTGAATATTTCCTAAAGGACCTGCCTGTGGCTATTTTACAGTTAACATTTTGTATAAGTAGGAGTAAACTATAATGATAAAAAGTACAATATAGTAAATACATAAACCAGTAACATATTCATTTATCATTATCAAGTATTATGTTCTGTACTTAATTGTATTGCTATACTTTTTAAAATTTTTTTTGTGTTTATTTATTTATATATTTATTGAGATGGAGTCTCACTCTGTCGCTCAGGCTGGAGTGCTGTGGCACGATCTCAGCTCACTGCCACCTCTGCCTCCTGGGTTCAAGTGATTCTCCTGCCTCAGCCTCCTAAGTAGCTGGGATTACAGGCGCTCACCACCATGCTCCAGCCCACACGGTTGTGGGATTTGTCCTTTTAAGAAAAAGTCATAGGATTTGATGATTCGATATCACTGGTTCCGATCAAGAAAGTACCTTCTGTAGAGGAGTATGAGCAGAAGGCATGTTGCTGGGCCTAAGGGGTAAACAAGAGGGTAGAGGGAACTGCAGGCCTCAAGTAAAGACCAGGCTTTCAAGAAGTTTGGCAGACAAAGGGAAGATAGGGTCATGGCTTGAGAAGGCAGCAGAGAAGGCATATTTTGTGTTTGTTTTTAGGATAGGAAAGACTTTGAGGCCTAAAAAAGATGCACTGATAGCTATGTATGCACTCTTATGAAGGGTAACATAAAGTAGTGTCCAAGAGCACAGGCTCTGGGGCCATGAGTACCTGGGTTCAAATTCTGGTTTTGCCAGTTACCATAGGCAAGTCATTTATCCTCTCTGTGCCTCAGTTTTTTAATCAGTAAAATGGGAAGCATTACAATGCCTACCTCAGAATTGTTGCATGTAATAAATGGGATAATATTTGTAAAACATTTAGAACAGTAACACAAAGTAAGTGTTCAATACGTGGCATTATTTAAGCAAAAATCACATGCAGGATATGATTGGATTTGGTTTCAATTTTGGTAAACTTTTTTTCCTTATTGTAAAAGTGATATATATGCCTTTAAAAAAAAAGTAGCTTTAAGGGGACCTCTACAAGACTTGGGTCACAGAGCAGACCAGCATCAACGCCATAGCTCCAATAGAGTCTGCAGTCGTGGTGCCTAGGAGCAGTACGATTGCTCCACCCCACTTGCCTAATGGGGCTCGGCTCCAGCTCCCAGCCCAGTATTCCTGCTTTGGTCTGAACTCGGTGAGCCAGCCACTCCACCCACCACTACCACTACCATCAAAGCAAGCAATGCTTGCTAGAGCTTCTAGCCTAGCAGTCCCACTTTAATGTGATAGCTGGAGGGGGCAGCTTCCTGTTGTCCCAGAAACACCCAGATGGCAGAGCATGCAACCCTACCCACCCCTGCCACTGACAGCCAGGTGGACAAAACTTGCTAGAGCTTCTGGCCCAGCAGTCCCACTACTGCATGAACTCAGCTGAAGGGCGCAGTTCCTGTTGCCCCAGGAAAATGGCAGAGCACATGACCCTACCTGCCCTCACCACTGATAGCCAGGTGGGCAACACCAACTAGAGCTTCCCTCCCAGAAGTCCTGCTTCTTTGTGAACTCAGATGGAGGGCACAGCTTCCTGTTGTCTCAGGAAACAACCAGATGGCAGAGCGTACAACCCTACCTGTCCCCACCACCAGTAGCCAGGCAAGCCACACCTGCTAGAACTTCTGACCCAGAAGTCCTGTTTCTGCCTGAATTTGCTGAGGGGCACAGCTTCTTATTGTCCTGGGAAACACCTGGATGGCAGAGTGAGTAACTCCACTCACCCCCACTTCTCATAGCCAGATGGGCCATGCCCACTAGAGCTTCCAACCAAGAGGTCCTACTTCCACTCGAATTCTGCAGGCACACACAACCCTGTGTTTCTCCAGGAAGCACACAGGCAGCAGACTGGGGCCAACCTGGCAAGAGTATGGCTTTTCTGCCAATTGCTGCCCCTGCCTGAGGGAGACTTATGGACCAGAACACCCAACAAAAGAAATGCAGGCAAGAAGACAATAAGCTGTGGGGGCACTTCCAAGATGCAAGAGCAAACTAGAATTGAAGCCAGTCAACTGAACCACCTTATACCATAATTAAACCCCCAAGGGCATCAAAGAAGAAAAAAGCAACAACAACAAAAAAAATCATCCAAAGGACAGCAGCTTCAAAGATTGAAGGAGGCCAGGCACAGTGACTCACGCCTGTAATCCCAACACTTTGGGAGGCCAAGGCAGGTGGATCACCTGAGGTCAGGAGTTCGAGACCAGCCTGGCCAACATGGTGAAACCCGTCTCTACTAAAAATATAAAAACTAGCTGGGCATGGTGGTGGGTGCCTGTAATCCTAGCTACTTGGGAGGCTGAGGCAGGAGAATTGCTTGAACCCAGGAGACAGTGAGCCAACACGGTGCCACTGCACTCCAACCTCAGAACACAGTGAGCCTCCATCTCAAAAAAAAAAAAAAAATTGAAGGAACATCTGCCCACAAAAATGAGAAAGAACCAGGGCAAGAACTCAGGCAACTCAAAAAGCCAGAGTATCTTCTTCTTGCCTCCAAACAACCAAACCAGTTCCCCAGCAATAGTTCTTAACTAGTCTGAAATGGCTGAAATGTCAGAAATAGAATTCAGAATATGGATAGAAACAAAGATCATCAACATACAGGAGACAGTCAAAACCCAGTCTGAGAAATCTGGGGATTACAATAAAACAATACAGGAGGTAATAGACCAATGGCCTCTATAAGAAAGAAACAAACTGATCTGATAGAGCTGAAAAGAACACTAGAAGAATTGTATAATGCAATCACAAATATTAACCACAGAGTTGACCAAGCTGAGGAAAGAATCTCAGAACTTGAAGACCGGCTCTCTGTAATAACTCAGTCAGATAAAAATAAAGAACAAACAATAAAGAAGAATGAACAAAACCTCAAAGAAATATGGGATTCTGTAAAGAGACCAAATCTATGACTCAATAGTGTCCCCAAAAGAGAGGGAGAGAAACCAAGCAACTTGGAAAACATATTTTAGGATATCACCCATGAAAATTTTGCCAACCTCACTAGAGAGGCTCACATTCAAATTTGGGAAATGCAGAGAAATCCTGTAAAATTCTACACAAGAAGACCATCCCCAAGACAGAGTCATCAAATTTTCCAAGGTTGAAATGAAAGAAAAAAATGTTAAATGCAGCTAGAGATAAGGGGCAGTTCACCTACAAAGGGAACCCCATCAGGCTAACAGCAGACCTGTCATTAAAAACCCTACAAACCAGAAGAGATTGGGAGTCTATATTCAGCATTCATAAAGAAAAGAAATTCCAACCAACAATTTCATATTCAGTTAAATTAAGCTTCATAAGCGAAGGAGAAATAAGATCCTTTACAGACAAGCAAATGCTAAGGGAATTCATTACCACCAGACCTGCTTTATAACACGTCCTGAAGGGAGTGTTAAATATGGAAAGACCATTACCAGCCACTACAAAAACACCCTTTAGTACATAGACCAGCGACACCACAAAGCAGCCAGACAAACAAGTCTGCATAATAACCAGCTAACAACACAATGACAAGATCAAATCCACACACATATCAATACTAACCTTGAATGTAAATGGGCTAAATGCCCCAATTAAAAGGCACAGAGTCACAAATCGGATAAAGAAGTAAAACCCAATGGTATGCTGTCTTCAAGAGACCCATCTCGCGTGCAATGACACACATAGGCTCAAAGAAAAAAAAAATGGAGAAAAGTTTACCAAACAAATGGAAAACATGAAAGGCAGGGATTGTTACTCTAATTTCAGACAAAACAGACTTTAAACCAACAAAGATAAAAAAAGACAAAGAAAGGCATTATATAATGGCAAATGGCTCAATTCAACAAGATGACCTAACTATCCTAAATATATATGCACCCAACACAGGAGTACCCAGATTCATAAAGCAAGTTCATAGAGACCCATGAAGAGACTTAGATAACCACACAGTAATAGTGGTAAATTTTACATACCACTGATAGTATTAGACATATCGCCAAGGCAGAAAACTACCAAAGATATCTGGGACCTGAACGAACACTTGACTAAATGGACCTAACATACATCTATAGAACTCTCCACCCCAAAACAGCAAAATATACTTTCTTCTCATCTGCATGTGGCATGTACTCTAAAATCGATCACACAATTAGGCATAAAACAATCCTCAGCAAATTTTTCAAAAACCAAAATTATGCCAACCATGCTCTCAGACCACAGTGCAATAAAAATAGAAACCAATGCTGGCCGGGCATGGTGGATCACACCTGTAATCCCAGCACTCTAGGAGGCCCAGTCAGATGGATCACTTGAGGCCAGGAGTTTGAGACCAGCCTGGCCAACGTAGTGAAACCCTATCTCTACTAAAAACACAAAAAATTAGGTGGGCATGGTGGCACATGCCTGTAATGCCAGCTACTCAGGAGGCTGAGGCAAGAGAATCACTTGAACCTGAGAGGCGGAGGTTGCAGTGAGCTGACATCATGCCACTGCACTTCAGCCTGAGTGACAGAGCTAGACTCTATCTCCAAGAAATAATAATAAGAAAAAGAAACCAATGTTAAGATAATCATTCAAAACCATACAATTACATGGCAAGTAAACAACCTGATCCTGAATGACTTTTGGGTAAATAGTGAAATTAAGGCAGAAATCAAGAAATTATTTGAAACCAGTGAGAACAAAGCTACATTATACCAGAATCTCTGGGGATGCTGCTAAAGCAGTGCTACGAGGTAAGTTCAAGGCAATGAATGACCATGTCAAAAAGTTAAAAAGATCTCAAATTAACAACCTAACATCACAATTAGAGGAACAAGAGAAACAAGAGCAAATCAACCTTAAGGCTAGCAGAAAACAAGACATAACAAAAATGAGAGCTGAACTGAAGTAAATTGAGACAGAAAAAAACATACAAAAAAATGGACCCAGGAGCTGGTTCTTTGAAAGAACAAATAAGATAGATAGACCACTAGCTAAAGTAATAAAGAAAAAAAGATATATAGAAGATCCAAAAAACACAATCAGTAATGATGAAGGAGATATTACCAGTGACCTCACAGAAGAAACTATTATGAACATCTATATGCACACCATCTAGAAAACCCATAAGAAATTGATAAATTCCTAGAAACATACAACCTCTTCAGATTGAACCAGGAAGAGATTGAATTCTTGAACAGAGCAATAATGAGTGCTGAAATTGATTTAGTAATGAAAAGCCTACCAACCAGAAAAAGCCCAGGACCAGATAGATTCACAGCTGAATTCTACCAGACGTATAAGGAAGAACTGATACAATTCCTACTGAAACTATTCCAAAAAATGGACACAGAGTGTATTAGGCCATTCTCCCATTGCTATAAAGAAGTATTGGGGACCGAGTAATTTATAAAGAAAAATGTTTAGTTGGCTCATGGTTCTGCAAGATGTACAGGAAACATAGTGGCATCTGCTTCTGAGGAGGCCTCAGGAAGCTTCCAATCATGGCAGAAGGGGAACAGGGAGCAGGCATGTCACATGGTGAAAGCAGGAGGAAGAGAGAGAGGGAAGAGGTGGCACACACTTTTAAATGACCAGATCTCATGAGAACTCACTCACTACAATGAGGACAACACCAAGAGGATAGTGCTAAACTATTCATGAGAAATTCACCCTAATGATCCAGTTACCTCTCACCAGGCCCCATCTCCAACACTGGGGATTACCTTTCAACATGATATTTGGGCAGGGATACACCTCTAAGATATATCACCTAGGGACTCCCTAACTCATTATGTGAGGCCAGCATCATCCTGATATGAAAACCTGGCAGAGACACAACAAAAAAAGAAAACTTCAGGTCAATATCCTTGATAAACATAGATGCAAAAATACTTGACAAAATACTAGCAAACTGAATCCAGTAGCACATTAAAAAGCTAATCTACCACAAGGGTCAGGTGCAGTGGCTCATGCCTGTAATCCCAGCACTTTGGGAAGCTGAGGCAGGTGGATCACTTGAGGTTAGGAGTTCGAGACCAGCCTGGCCAAAATGGTGAAACCCTGTCTCTACTAAAAATACAAAATAAGCTGGGCATGGTGGCACGTGCCTGTATTCACAGCTATTCAGGAGGCTGAGGCAGGAGAACTATTTGAACCCAAGAGGTGGAGGATGCAGTGAGCCAAGGTCTCGCCGCTGCATTCCAGCCTGGGTGACAAAGTGACACTCTGTCCAAAAAAAAAAAAAAAAAAAAACGCAAAAAAAAACACATGATCACCTCAATAGATGCAGAAAAGACTTTCAATAAAATTCAACATTACTTCATGTTAAAAACCCTCAACAAACTAGGCATTGAAGGAGCATACCTCAAAAAAAGAGCCATCTATGAAAAACCCACAGCCAACTCATACTGAATGGGCACAGGCTGGAAGCATTCCCCTAGAAAACCAGCATAAGACAAGGATGCCCTCTCTCACCACTCCTATTCAACATAGTTCTGGAAGTTCTCATCAGAGCAATCGGGCAACAGAAAGAAATAAAATGCATCCAAATAGGAAGAGAGGAAGTCAAACTATTCCTGTTTGCAGACAATGTAATTCTATACCTACAAAACACCACAGTCTCTTCCCAAAAGCTCCTTGATCTGATAAACAACTTCAACAAAGTTTCATGATACAAAATCAATGTACAAAAATCAGTAGCATTCCTACACCCTAACAATATTCAATCTGAGAGCCAAATCAAGAATGCAATCCCACTCAGAATAGTCACAAAAAAGAATAAAATACCTAGGAATACAGCTAACCAGGGAGGTGAAACATCTCTACAATGAGAACTCCAAAAGACTGCTCAAAGAAATCAGAGATGACACAAACAAATGGAAAAACTTTCCATGCTCATGGATAGGAAGAATCAATATTATTAAAATGGCCATACTGCACAAAGCAATTTATACCTTCAATGCTATTCCTATCAAACTACCAATGAAATTCTTCACAGAATTAGCTATTTTAAAATTCATATGGAACAAAAAAGAACCCAAATAGCCAAGGCAATCCTAAGCTAAAAGAACAAAGCTGGAGGTATTACATTACCTGACTTCAAACTATACTACAGGGCTACAGTAACCAAAACAGCATGGTACTGGTACAAAACAGGCACATAGACCAGTGGAACAGAATAGAGAGCCTAGGAGTAATGTTGCACACCCACAACCATCTGATCTTCAAGAAAGCTGACAAAAACAAGCAATGGGGAAAAGGCTCCTTACTCAATAAATGGTGGTGGGATAACTGGCTAGCCATATGCAGAAGATTGAAACTGGACCCCTTCCTTACACGATATACAAAAATCAACTCAAGATGGATTAAATACTTAAATATAAAACCTAAAATCATAAAAACCCTGGAAGATAACATATGAAATACCATTCTGGACATAGGACCTGGCAAAAATTTCATGAAGAAGATGCCAAACGCAAGTGCAACAAAAACAAAGATTGATAAAAGGGTCCTAATTAAACTAAAGAGCTTCTGCATAGCAAGAAAAGGTAAGTTGTTTCCTTAGAAGAAACTATCAACAGAGTAAACAGATAACCTACAGGATAAGAGAAAATATTTGCAAACTATACATCTAAAAAAGGTCTAATGTCCAGAATCTATAAGGAACATAAACAAATTTAGAAGCAAAAAACAACCCCATTAAAAAGTGGGCAAAGGACAAGAACAGACACTTTTCAAAAGAAGACCTATATGTGGCCAGCAAGCATATGGAAAAAAAGGCTGAACATCACTAATCATTAGAGAAATGCAAATCAAAACCACAAGGATATACCATCTCACATCTGTCAGAATGCCTATTATTAAAAAGTCAAAAAGACCAGGTGTGGTGGCTCACTCCTGTAATCTCAGCACTTTGGGAAGCCAAGGTGGAAGGACCCCTTGAGCCCAGGAGTTGGAGACCAGCCTGGGCAACATGGCAAGACCCCATCTCTACAAAAAATAAATTAGCTGGGCATGGTAGCACATTCCTGTAGTCCCAGCTACTTGAGAGGCTGAGGTCATAGGATCACATGAGCCCAGGAGGTTGAGGCTGCAGTGAGCCATGATTGTGCCACTGCACTCTGGCCTGGGCAACAGCGTGAGACTCTGTCTCAAAAGAAAAAATTTCAAAAAATAATAGTTGCTGGCAAGGTTGTGGAGAAAAGAGAATGCTTATACACTGCTGGTGGGAATGTAAATTCATTCGGCCATCAGGGAAAGCAGTTTAGAAATTTCTCAAATAACTTAAAATGGAATTAACCATTCAACCCAGCAATCCTACAATTGGGTATACACTCAAAGGAATATAAATTGTTCTATCAGAATGATACAGGTATGTGTATGTTCATTGCACTATTCACAATAGCAAAGACATGGAGCCAACTTAAATGCCATTGTTGGTAGACAGGATTTTAAAAATGTAGTATGTATACACAATGGAATATGATGCAGCCACAAAAAAAAGAATGAGATCATGTCCTTTGCTGCAACATGGATGGAGCTTGAGGCTAATATCCTAAGCAAACTAACACAAGAACAGAAAACCAAATACCACATGTTCTCACTTGTAAGTGGGAGCTAAACTTTGAGTACATATGGACATAAAGAAGGAAACAATAGCCACTGGGGCCTATTTGAGAGTGGAGGGTGAGAGGACGGTGAGAATCGAAACACTACCTATTGGGTACTATGCTTATTACCTGGGTAATAAAATAATCTGTACAACAAATCCCCATGACATGCAATTTACCTATACAATAAACCTGTATGTGCACCCCAGAACCTAAAATAAAATTAAAAAATAATATATAAATAGAGTTGAACTTAAAAAAACTGAACTTGATAGACTTAGACTGAGTACCATAATCATGGAATTTATTCAATTTACTGTTTGGGTGGTCTCTATAAGGGCATATCAACATGAGGTGGAATGAAACCAAGGCATAAGAATCACTTCTGTCTGATGTGGTCAGTTGTCCCATATATAATTGTTAGACTTTGTTTGAACTTTCTGTCTCAAGTTCCCAGAGAGTTATGAGGGAGGCCAAAAAGTACCATATTTAAATTAAGAATCTAGGAAGAAGCTCTTGATGTGATGCTCAGGATACTGACACTGCAACTTCTGGTTGTTTGTCTTGTTTTGTTTTCATTTCTCCTAGTACTTTGAATTATTCCATTTTTAATATATCAATATTTCATCCATCAGATTTTATTTTGATGCAAATTATTAGGTAGAAATTCAATTTTTATTTTTCTTTCTTCATAGAAATTTCTTATTAACTTAAAATGACATATTCAAAATACACCAAATTCCTGTATGTGCTTGTGTCTATTTTAAAATTTTTTATTGCATTTAATTGATCCCTCTATTCATGCACTAGTATAATACTTTTAAATTACTGAGCCTTCAGAATTTTTTTTTTTTTTTGAGAGGGAGTCTCACTCTGTCACCCAGGCTGGAGTGCAGTGGTGCGATCTCAGCTCACTGCAAGCTCCACCACCTGGGTTCACGCCATTCTCCTCCCTCAGCCTCCCGAGTAGCTGGGACTACAGGTGCCCGCCACCACGCCTGGCTAATTTTTTTGTGGTTTTTTTTTTTTTTTTTTTTTTTTTAGTAGAGACGGGGTTTCACTGTGTTAGCCAGGATGGTCTCGATCTCCTGACCTCATGATCAGCCTGCCTCGGCCTCCCAAAGTGCTGGGATTACAGGCGTGAGCCACCGTGCCAGCCCAGAATTTTAATGTCTATAACAGTTAGTTACCTCTCATTGCTATTATTTCTAAAGGTTGTCTGGATGCCTTTTTAATTTTTACATTTTTTCACATGACATGTAGAATCAATGTATCTTATCCCAAATAAAATCCCATTGGTATCTGGGGAGAAGAATTCTAGAAAATAAAGATAAGCAAAAAGAAGAAAACAAAAAACACTGTATCTTCACTTCTTATCATCTTCAACATCCTGGCATATATCTTTGCAGACTTTTTTCTACTTATCTAATAACATTTTCATGTGTGTGTGTGTGTACAGCAGGGAGGCTAGACAAGTACTTTTGCTAAGCTTTTGAGCTTTGTCTCTTGTGGTAGCTAGAGTTAATTGCCCCAATACACATGCTTTCCTGATTTTCCTTGACCCTACACCACTAGAGATCAGATACACCTTCCCTGTAGCAGCAACTAGATATAGGGACCCAAACTCGTGAGAGACCTAGGCTCTCCATCTGTCCATAAGAAAGCTGAGACATCCCTGAGGTTCTGGTTCTATGAACTCCCACTTTCTGGTTCCTGTGTGTAGAATGCAGATACCTTTTCTCTGACTGCCTTACATCTATTCTCCCCTTGCTCCTTGAAGGGTGGTGCCTGGGCCAACAGCATCAACATCACCTGGGAACTTTTAGAAATGCACATTCTTGGGCCTTACACCAGACCTACTAAATCAGAATCTAAAGTTTAATACGCTTCTCACGTGACTCCTCCATACATTAATTTTTGAGAAACACTGGACTAGGTGATCTCTAAGGGCCTTTTGTATTCAAAAATGAAATTTTCTCTAAATGTTCTTGAACTCTAGAAATTTCAATAACTTTTCCATTAAAAGTTTTACTTTGCTTCAGGCCATTCCATTTTATGCAATACATTGAGATTTGTAGGTGAATAGGCCCTATGCCTTCCATGCAATTCCAGTGCACTCTGCTCAAACTTCAAACATTTTTATACCCAAACTCAGCAGCCAGAGGATGAGGCCAGGGAAAATACTGAGTATCTCTGGTCCTAAGTGATAGGGGAATCCACTTTGAGTAGACAATGTCAAACAATTTCTTCTCAGAAGAATGTGGGCCATGCAATCAGGGAACAAGTTCCCACCAGCAGGCACAAACGGACAGCTTCTGTAGGATATTTCTACTTGTGGGTTCCATACATCATCCTAAGTCAGTGATGAGAAACTTCTATCAAGGATCACTCACCCACTGACATAAATTATAGTTAGTAAATGAAGGGGCTCTTGAGTATAATGCTTTTTTTCATTGCAATAAGCTACATTACTTATTTATTTTTAAAAACCATGAACATTAAATGTAAGACTTTATTCCATGAAGATAATAGGTAATTACAAGGTGTACTTCAGTTCTTTGTTATGACCAATTAAGAAATAGGGACAGAAGTAAGGAAGAGAGAAGGGGAAGAAGAAAGACAAAGAGCCCACGCAAAAAAGACAGAAACAGGCATACATATATATACAAGGACAAAGAATCTGACTCTGATGGTATTGATGTTGCCATAATGTTCTCATGTAGGATATGACTGGTAAGCCATTCAGTCACAAATTTATCAAACATTTATACCATACTTTTTCTGTGTCAGATGCTGAAGATATTAAAGTGAGCAAAAAAAGGGCTCTTGCACTTAAGGAGTTTACATATCTAGCAGGGGAGCAAGACATTAATCAAGTAATCACACAAATAACCATTTATATTAGTTTCCTATTGCTGCTGTAACAAATCACCACTAACATAGTGGCTTAAAACAATGCCCATTTACTGTCTTACCATTCTGTAGGGTAGAGTTATGACATGGACAGAGCTAAAGTCAACATGTCAGCAGAACTGTGTTCCTTTTTGGAGGCTCTAGATGAGGATTTTTTTCCTTGCCCTTTCCAGCTTCTAGAGGCCACTCACATTCCTTGCCCATGGTCCTCTTCCTCTTCAAAACCAACAATGTTGAAACTCTCTGAGCCTTTCTTTCCTAATCACATCTTCCTGTTACTCTCCTACCTCCCTGATATGGTGTGAATTTGAGTCCCTGCCCAAATCTCATGTCCAATTGTAATCCCCCATGTTGGAGGAGGGGCCTGGTGGAGGGGATTAGATGGTCGGGGTGAATTTTCCCCTTGCTGTTCTCATGATAGTGAGTTCTCAGGATATCTCGTTGTTTAAAAGTGTGTAGCACCGTCCCCACCCATTAACTCTCTTCCTCCTCCTACTCCTGTCCATGTTAACATGTTGCCTGCTTCCCTTTTGCCTTCCACTATGATTGAAAGTTTCCTGAGGTCTCCCCAGCCATGCTTCCTGTACAGCATGCTGATCTGTGAGCCAATTAAACCTCTTTTCTTTATAAATTTTCTTTATGAATTATACTATATTATAAAGAAAAACCCAGTTTCAGGTTTTTCTTTACAGCAGTGGGAGAACGGACTAATACACTCCCTTTTCCACTTTTAAGGATCCTTGTGATCACATTGGACCCATCTAGATAATCCAGGAGAATCTCTCCCATTGCAAGTTCAGTTAATTAGCAACCTTAATTATCATTTGCCATATAAGGTAACATATTCACAGGTGCTGGGTATTAGGACTTAGACATCTTTGGGAGACTATTATTCTGCCTACCACACCATTTAAATGCATTACAGAAACCATTGGCTTAAATGGGACTATAATCTTTGTGCACAAGTGTAGAGCATGGGATTTTCTGGAACTATCCTATTCTGAGTTATGTTCTTTGCTGCCTACTTGTGTTTGTATTTGCTGTTTCCTCTGCCTGAGATGCCCTCCTCCTTAACCTCTACATGTCCATATTCTAGTTATATTTTAAGGCCTTGCTCAAATGTTGCCTAAATTTTATGAGGTGGAACAATGAACAATAAACTTAGTTCAGAATACTTCAACCTTTAGGGTTCTCAATTGGTGACTAATTGAATTTGTGTGGAAGCCACTGCATTAAAAATGAGTTTTACTATATTAAAACATATTTTAAAGTATTCAGACTGGGGTTTTCAGACACTTCTGTTTGGATCACAGAACAAAATGGAAGAAAAAAGCAGAACCCTCTAGCACTACTGAAGAGAGACAGAAGGAAGTACCTTGAAAACATCAAGAAGGGAATGTAATAGTCTGTTCTCACACTGCTATAAAGGCCATAAATAAATATCTGAGTCTGGGTAATTTAAAAAGAAAAGAGTTTTAATTGGCTTACAGTTCTGCAAGCTCAGGATGCTTCCAATCATGGCAGAAGGCAAAGAGGGAGCAGGTGTCTCACATGGCAGGAGCAGGAGCAGGAGCAAGAGAAGGTGGGGAGGTGCTACACACTTTTAAATGACTAGATCTCATGAGAACTCACTATCATGAGAACAGCACAAAGGGGATGGTGCTAAACTATTCATGAGAAATCCACAGGGGGCAAGGCCAAGATGGCCAACTAGAAACAGAGGCGATCAGAGGCGCTCATCGAAAAGAACCATAATTAGCGTGTGAATCCTTCACAGGTAACCAAGGTATCCAGGTTCTCTCATCGGAACTGACTAGGCAGCTGATGTGATTCATGGAGAGAAAGGAAGAGCAGTGTGGTGCAGCGGTCCACCTGAGAGCCACACGGGGCAGGGGAGCCCCCACCCCCCAGCCAAGGGAGGTGTTGAGTGCGCTACCCAGGCGGGGAAACCGTGGTTTTTCCATGGAACTGTGGAACCCATGGATCAGAAGATCCCATTCGTGAACCCACGCCACTGGGGCCCAGAGTCCCAACCCCTGAGTCACGCAGATTCTCAACAGCCTCTCAGCTGGAATCTGCTTAAGCCTGCAGAGCTCCCAGGGGGAGGGGCGACAAGCACCACAGCTGCGACTGCCTGCTATGTAAGCCATTTGAGCTCCTTGTGGGAGGGGCAGCAGCCAGCACTGCGACTCATAACTGCCTAACACGCTAAGCTCCCTGGGTGGGGGAAGGGAGGCTTCCATCTCTATAGCTCCAGGCCACGCTTTTCCCCTGCTGGAGCCAGGGAGACTGGATGGCTTGGTCCCAAGAGGTTTCCCCCATAGCCCAACACACTGGCAGTGGCAGACTGCGGCCAGAGCGCCTCTTCAGTCCTGACCCTGAGCCATCCTTCCTCACTAGGTGGGACTTCCCTGCAGGAACTCCAACAACTCCAGCCAGAGGCTCAAGGACAGAACCTGGATCTCCCTGGGCCTGAGCCCCTAGTGGGAGGGGTGGCCATAGTCTCTGTAGACCAGCAGACTTAGCCTTTCCTCCTGGTAGTTCTGAGGAATCCAGCCAGCCCAGATGAGTGGGTTTACCCTCATCAAAGCATGCCCCCTCCACCGAGGAACAGTCAAAGTGCTTCGTTAAATTGGTCCTGTTCCCTGAGCCACCCAACTGGGTTAGACCCTCCAACAGGGGTTGTCAGATACTCTATACAGGAGCGATCCTACTGGCATCAGGTTGGTTCCCCTGAAGGTTAGAGGTCCCAGAAGAAGAAAGAGGCACCCATCTTTACTGTTCTCCAGCCTCCTTGAGAGACATCTCCAGGCATGGGAGCAAACCAGATGAATAGGACGTGAACCCACAGCAAGCCATAGCAGCCCTACAAAAGAGGTATCTGACCATCAAAAGAAAAACAAACAGAAAGCAACAACAACAGCATCATCAACAACAAAAAAATTCTCCACAAAAACCCCATCCAAGGGTCAACAGCCTCAGAGATCGAAACTAGACAAACTCATGAAGATGAGAAAGAATCAACAAAAACATGCTGTAAACCCAAAAGGCCAGAGTGCCTCTTCTCCTCCAAATGATTGCGCCTCTCCAGGAAGGGTGCAGAACTGGATGGAGGAAGAGATGGATGAATTGACAGAAGTAGGCTTCAGAAGATGGGTAACAAAAACTCCGCTGAGCTAAGGGAGCATGTTCTAACCCAATGCAAAGAAGCTAAGAACCTTATTAAAAGGTTAGAGGAGCTGCTAAGTAGAATAACCAGTTTAGAGAGGAACATAAGTGAGCTGATGGAGCTGAAAAACACTGTACAAGAACTTTGTGAAGCATACACAAATATCAATAGCTAAATCGACCAAGTGGAAGAAAGGATATCAGAGTTTGAAGACAACTTTGCTGAAATAAGGCATGCAGACAAGATTAGAGAAAAAAAGAATAAAAAGGAATGAACAAAGCCTCCAAGAAATATGGGACTTCATAAAAAGACTGAACATAAAATTGATTGGAGTACCTGAAGGAGACAAGGAGAATGGAAACAAGCTGGAAAACACACTTCAAGATATTATCTAGGAGAACTTCCCCAACCTAGCAAGACAAGCCAACATTCAAATTCAGGAAATACAGAGAACACTACTAAGATATTCCATGAGAAGATCAACCCCAAGACACATAATCATTAGATTCTCCAAGGTAGAAATGAAGGAAAAAGTGTTAAGGGCAGCCAGAGAGAAAGGTCAGGTAACCTACAAAGGGAAGCCCATTAGACTAACAGCAAACCTCTCAGCATAAACTCTACAAGCCAGAAGAGAGTTGGGGCCAATATTCAACATTCTTAAAGAAAAGAATTTTCAAACCAGAATTTCATATCCAGCCAAACTAAGCTTCATAAGCAAAGGAGAAATAAATTCCTTTACAGACAAGCAAATGCTGAGGAATTTCATTACCACCACACCTGCCTTGTAAGAGCTTCTGAAAGAAGCACTAAATATGGAAATGAAAAAACTGGCAGGGCACGGTGGCTCACGCCTGTAATCCCAGCACTTTGGGAGGGCAAGGCAGGTGGATCACGAGGTCAGGAGATCGAGACCATCCTGGCTAACATGGTGAAACTCCATCTCTACTAAAAATACAAAAAAAATTAGCCAGGCGTGGTGGCAGGTGCCTGTAGTCCCAGCTACTCGGGAGGCTGAGGCAGGAGAATGGCATGAACCCGGGAGGTGGAGCTTGCAGTGAGCCGAGATCGCGCCACTGCACTCCAGCCTGGGTAACAGAGCGAGACTCCGTCTCAAAAAAAAAAAGAAAAAGAAAAACAGGTAACAGCCACTGCAAAAACACACCAAAATATAAAGACCAATTACATCATGAAAAACTCCATCAACTAGTGTGCAAAATAACCAGATAGCATCATGATGACAGGATCAAATTCTCATATAACAATACTAACCTTAAATGTAAATGGGCCAAATGCCCCAATTAAAAGACACAGACTGGCAAATTGGACAGAGTCAAGACCCATTGGTGTGCTGTATTCAGGAGACCCATCTCACGTGCAAAGACACACATAGGCTCAAAATAAAGGGATGGAGAAAAATTTACCAAGCAAATGGAAAGCAAAAAACAACAAGGATTGCCATCCTAGTCTCTGACAAAACAAACTTTAAACCAATAAAAATCAAAAAAGACCAGGGCTTACATACTGGTAAAGGGAATAATTCAACAAGAAGAGCTAACTATTCTAAATATATATGCACCCAATACAGGAGCACCCAGATTCATAAAACAAGTTCTTAGAGATCTACAGAGACTTAGACTCCCATACAATAATAGTAGGAGACTTTAACACCCCACTGTCGATATTAGACATGTTGACAAGGCACAAAATTAACAAGGATATTCAGGACTTGAACTCAGCTCTGGATCAAGTGGACCTAATAGACAGCTACAGAATTCTCCACCCCAAATCAACAGAATATGCATTTTTCTCACCACCACGTGGCACTTATTCTAAAATCAACAACATAATTGGAAGTAAAACACTCCTCAGCAAATGCAAAAGAACAGAAATCATAACAAACAGTCTCTCACACCACAGTACAATTAAATTAGAACTCAGGATTAAGAAACTCACTCAAAACCACACAATTACATGGAAATTGAACAGCCTGCTCCTGAATGACTCCTGGGTAAATAATGAAATTAAGGCAGAAATCAAAAAGTTCTTTGAAACAAATGAGAACCAAAAGACAATGTACCAGAACCTCTCGGACATACCTAAAGCAGAGTTAAGAGGGAAATTTATAGGACTAAATATCAGAAAGCTATATATTTTTTATATATTTATAGGACTAAATATCAGAAAGCTATATATTTTTTATATATTTATAGGACTAAATATCAGAAAGCTATATATCAGAAAGCATATATCAGAAAGCTAGAAAGATCTCAACACACTAACATCACAAATAAAAGAGCTAGAGAGGCAAAAGCAAACTCATCCAAAAGCTAACAGAAGACAAGAAATAACTAAGATCAGAACAGAATAGAAGGAGACAGAGACATGAAAAACCCTCCAGAAAATCAATGAATCTGGGAGTTGGTTTTCTGAAAAAATTAACAAAATAAATAGGCTGCTAGCTAGACTAATAAGAAAAGAGAGAAGAATCAAATAGACACAATAAAAAATGATAAAGTGGATATCATCACTGACCCCAAAGAAATACACACTACCATCAGAGAACACTATAAACACCTCTATGCAAATAAACTAGAAAATCTAGAAGAAATGGATAAATTCCTGGACACATACACCCTCCCAACACTAAACCAGGAAGAAGTCAAATCCCTGAATAGACCAATAACAAATTCTGAAATTGAGGCAGTAATTAATAGCCTAGCAACAAAAAAAGCCAGGACCAGACAGATTCAGATCTGAATTCTACCACAGGTACAAAGAGGAGCTGGTACCATTACTTCTGAAACCATTCCAAACAATTGAAAAGGAGTCACTCCTCCCTAACTCATTTTATGAAGCCAGCATCATCCTGATACCAAAACCGGGCAGAGACTCAACCAAAAAGAAAACTTCAGGCCAGTATCCCTGATGAACATCAATGTGAAAATCCTAAATAAAATACTGGCAAATCAAATCCAGCAGCACATCAAAAAACTTATCTTCCACGATCAAGTTGGCTTTATCCCTGGGATGCAGGGGTTGTTCAACATACACAAATCAATAAATGTGATCCCTCAGATAAACAGAACCAAAGACAAATACCACATGATTATCTCAATAGATGCAGAAAAGGCCTTTGATAAAATTCAACATCCCTTCATGTTAAAAACTCTCAATAAACTAGGTGTTAATGGAACATATCTCAAAATAGTAAGAGCTTATTCATGACAAACCCACAGCCAATATCATATTGAATGGGCAAAAGCTGGAAGCATTCCCTTTGAAAACTGGTGCAAGACAAGGATGCCCTCTCTCACCATTCCTATTCAACGTAGTATTGGAAGTTCTGACCAGGGCAATCAGGCATGAGAAAGAAATAAAGTGTATTCACATAGGAAGAGAGGAAGTCAAATTGTCTCTGTTTGTAGATGACATGATTGTATATTTAGAAAACCCCATCATCTCAGCCCAATAACTCCTTAAGCTGATAAGCAACTTCAGCAGTCTCAGGTTACAAAATCAATGTGCAAAAATCACAAGCAGTCCTTTACACAAATAATTGACAAGCAGAGAGCCAAATCATGAATGACTTCCCATTCACAATTGCTAAAAAGAGAACAAAGTACCTGGGAATACAGCTAACAAGGGATGTGAAGGACCTCTTCAAGGAGAACTACAAACCTGTGCTCAAGGAAATGAGAGAGGACACAAACAAATGGAAAAACATTCCATGCTCATGGAATGGAAGAATCAATATTGTGAAAACGGCTATACAGCCCAAATTAACTTATAGATTCAATGCTATTCCCATCAAACTACAATTGCCTCTTCACAGAATTAGAAAAAAACTACTTTAAATTTCATATGGAGTGAAAGAAGACCCAGGATAGAAAAGACAATCCTAAGCAAAAAGAACAAAGCTGGAGATATCACACTACCTGACTTCAAACTATGCTACAAGACTACAGTAACCAAAACAGCATGGTACTGGTACCAAAACAGACATATAGACCAATGGAACATAACAGAGACCTCAGAAATAACACCGCATATCTACAACCGACTGATCTTTGACAAACCTGACAAAAACAAGCAATGAGGAAAGGATCTCCTATTCAATAAATGGTGCTGGTAAAACTAGCTAGCCATAGGCAGAAAACTGAAACTGGACCACTTCCTTACACCTTTTACAAAAATTAACTCAAGATGGATTAAAGACTTAAATGTAAAACCCAAAACCATAAAAACCCTAGAAGAAAACCTAGGCAATACCATTCAGGACATAGACATGAGTAAAGACTTCATAACAAAAACTCCAAAAGCAGTTGCAATAAAAGCCAAAATTGACAAGTGGGATCTAATTAAACTAAAGAGCTTCTGCACAGCAAAAGAAACTAGCATCAGAGTGAACAGGCAACTTACAGAGTGGGAGAAAATTTTTGCAATCTATCCATCTGACAAAGGTCTAATATCAGAATTTCCAAGGAACTTAAATGAATTTACAAGAAGAAAACAACCATATCAAAAAGTGGGCAAAGGATTCGAACAGACACTTCTCAGAAAAAGACATTTACGAGGCCAAAAAACATATGAAAAGAAGTTCAACAACACTGATCATTAGACAAATGCAAATCAAAACCACAATGAGATACCATCTCCTACCAGTTAGAATGGCAGTTATTAAAAAGTCAAGAAACAATAGATGCTGGCAAGGCTGTGGAGAAATAGGAACACTTTTACACTGTTGGTGGGAATGTAAATTAGTTCAACCATTGTGGAAGACAGTATGGTGATTCCTCAAGGATCTAGAACCAGAAATACCATTTGACTCAGCAACCCCATTACTGGGTACATACCCAAAGGAATTAAATCATTCTACTATAAAGACACATGCACGTGTATGTTTATTGCAGCACTATTTACAATAGCAAAGTCATGGAACCAACCCAAATGCTCATCAATGATAGAATGGATAAAGAAAATGTGGTACATATACACCATGGAATACTATGCAGCCATAAAAAGGAATGAGAGGATGTCCTTTGCAGGGACATAGATGAAGCTGAAAGCCATCATCCTCAGCAAACTAACACAGGAACAGGCAACCAAACACTGCATGTTGTCACTCATAAGTGGGAATTGAACAATGAGAACACATGGACACAAGAAGGGGAACAACACACACCAGGGCCTGTAGGGGTTGGGGGGTGAGGGGAGGGATCTTAGAGGACAGGTCAGTAGGTGCGGCAAACCACCATGGCACATGTATACCTATGTAACAAACCTGCACGTTCTGCACACTTATCTCAGAACTTAAAGATAAATAAATTAAAAAAAAAAAAAGAAAAGAAATCCGCCCACATGATCCAATCACCTCTCACCAGGCCCCACCTCCAGCGCTGGGGATTACAATTCAACATGAGATTTGGTGGGGACACAGATCCAAATCATATCAGGGAGTATTCTGTTTTATTTAAGTCTTGCTTAAAGTAAAAACAGACATGAGAGCTGATATGCAAAATAACAAAATAAGGTACTCTAAATGGTTCACAAAAGGCTGGGGTTAAATCATAGTTGAAGGAAGAATTGCAGGCTTGTTCAATGGGAAGAAAAACATTTGCCTCTTCCAGTTGGTTGTGAGACACTGAGTGAATAAGTATTTCAAACCTATTTTCTCATCTGTAACACAGGAATAATGAAAAGTGACTGGCCATAGGTCCTGAAACACAATAGGTGTTCAATAAATCTTGATCACTGTGTGAGAGAAGATTCAGAGAGGTGAAGTAATTTGTCCAAGTTTAGAGATGGATCCACGCTCCTAAGTGCTAGCATATTAAAATCATTTTAGGACCGGGAATACTGGCTAACTTCTGTAATCCCAGCACTTTGGGAAGCTGAGGCTAGAGGATCACTTGAGCCCAGGAGTTCAAGATCAGCCTGGCCAACATAGTGAGACATCATCTCTACAAAAAATAAACAAAATTAGCCAGGCATGGTGATGCACTCCTGTAGTCAGTCGCACTACTTAGGAGGCTGAGGTGGGAGGATTGCTTGAGCCCAGGTCAAGGCTGCAGTGAGTCAAGATCACTCCATTGCATTCCAGCCTGGGTGACACAGCGAGACCTTGTCTCAAAAAAAAAAAAAATCATTTTGCTGTCTTTCATTTCTTCAGAAATATGAAAACTGTTCATGGTCCATGTGGTACATCTCTGTAACTCAATAACAGTCACCCTTATTCTGACAGAGATCACTATACTAACACAGAGCTTTCTATTTTGTTTTCTTGTGAATATATCATCATTTCTCATTTGAAATAGAGGATTTTAAAGTACTCGGTGCATAAACTTGCCTGGTCTAAGGAAGGCTGAATGATTCTATCCTTGTCACTGGATACTGAGATCCAGAAAATAGAACAGAGCTTCTAGATCCTATTGGCCTAAACCATGCTGAGCGTGGTGAAAGAACCATTTAAAGAAATTAAATATCCCTCTGAAACAAAATCCTGAAGCCCATATACTGGATGCCAAATTAAAGGTTTAGGGGATTTGTCAGGGGGCTTCCTGTTTTACAGTTATCACAAGAATGTTTCCCTTTCATTTTGGTTTACATATTCTACTTCTCACTAACATTTCTCATTTTAAAGCTTAGTTCATTCAGTACCCATTATTCTGAAAATTTGCTTAATGCGGTCTGGCGGATTGAAGAAAATGAATTAGAATTTAAATGCAGTAAGAGGCATCTGAATGGAGTGGAATGAGAACTGGAATAAAAGCTAGAAGACATGAGTGCCCTAGGGCACCTTTTCCCCTCTCTGGGACTTTGTCTTCCTGATTGTAAAGGTAGGGGCCTGGGCTACATGGTCTCTAAGACCCCTACCATCCCTGGCATTCTAAGGTTCTACAAGTCCTCCCGACCTCACACACTTAGGCATCAGAATATAAGGGGTGTGTGTGGTGGGGTGGGGAGGTGACAGGGGGCTACAGTTGGGGAAAGATCCTTTGGAGAAGTAAAGGGGGAAAAAATCGCAGGCAGGCACTTCGTTTGAACTCAGCATATTCAGGGATAGTGTGTGCAAGACGTGGGAAGAGAGGGCAGAAAAGTTGCTAATAGAATAAAAGGTTTACTTTGTTAAGAAGGATAATTAGATCCAAGCCAGCCACATTGCTAAAGCCTTTGAAGCCCAACCTCTCCATGCTGTATTGTTGAAAACTTACTAAGAGTTGGGAATAAACTAATAAGACCTCAAATAGTTGTAAACCACGTCCCCCTCTCACCTTAAGTTTGGTTTTGTTTTCATTGAATGTATTCAATAGGCTAGTGTGTCTACCTGCTTTGTTATTGGCATGTGGGGACAAGCAGCTACAGAAAAAAATAAAACTCATCTATTAGTTTTCTTAGTTTTTGTCACATAATTTGACTATAAAACCTACATCTCAAAAGGTGTTCCATGTAGTTACACAGGAGTCAACATAAACAAATATTGCCTATTACTCACTATAAACTTTTTCCAGACCAGACAATTTAAACATTGGTCTAATTTGGCTTTACAGTTATAAACAAGAGTGGTAAATCACCAATTATTTGCTTAAAAGTGGGCTTCACAAAGCTGATCTATATTTTCCTTGATGTTTTGTCATGTTTGTAACCCGATCAGCCAATCAAGATACAAGAATCAGATCCTTAAACATGTTTTTTTCATTTTCTGCAATGAGTTTCAAAGGCAGTAGGAAGCTCTGGGAGAGCCTCTGGGCAAAAGATAAAGGTTACAGCTAGTGGAAGTTGTAATTAGAGCCAATTACAACTTAACTTACCTGCTTTGTCATTAAAATGTCTGTCAGACCTCTCATTTTTCTACACAGAGGGAAAGAAAAGGTATAGCTTAGTAGGGGAGAGGGTTAGCCAAAGGGAAGGGATTTCTAGTACTGTTTACAAATTTACCCTGTAATCTTAGACAAACACATTGCCTTTTGGCTTTAGACTGTGCTTTGCTCAAAGTTTAACTCGGGGAGCTTAACAGGACTTAGGAAATCACCTGGTCTAGTCCCCTGCCTTCTAGCAGGCAAGGTATTATTATTGTCCCATTTTTCTCAAATTAGATATGAAAGACCTGGAAAATTTAACTAACTAGACTATGTCTTCTGCCTCCTTAAGTGCAACAGATTTGATTTTGGTTTCACTTATAACTTGTCATAAGGAAAATGGCATTATTTTCACTTCTCTCACAGATACGTTGTGTATAGGGTTAACACGATAACTACAAAGCACGTTGAAAATACTAAGGAAAGCTTATAAATATAACATTACCCACAAAGCTACTAGCACTTTGAATGAATGGGTCTCAAAGAAATGTAACAGAAATATTTGGATTTCACTTTTTTAAGAATTGGCTTGAGGAAAGAAGTAGAATTACACTCAATGGACCAATCTCACTTTCTGCAAATGTAAAGGAGTACAAAAAAAATTGAGAAAGAATAGGAATGTCGCTGACGAACATACCATTATGTTTGAGAGTAATCAGAGTAAGTGAATTTTGTGTGTAAAAATCAAAATTCTGAAACAAAGCCTCCTTAGGGGGAAAGTAAAATAACAGGTTTTTATTATAAGTATCATTGTAAAAGTTCACTATCCTATACAGCCTCTAATGATTTTTTTTTCTTTTGTCCTTCATACTTGGACCAATTATCTTCCTGTCTCCAATCTTCCACCTTGCATTCTAAACCAAATTACCCTCACCCAAATAGCCATCTTTACTTGCTAAACATTATCATCTGCCTCACAAACCCTTGTTATCCTCTGTACTGAATTACTCATTCAGGATTTCAAGGCTCTTCATCAATCCACTCCAATTTAGTCTCTTTCCCGATCCTTCTTTGCTCTCTTTCAGTACTATACTTTCTCCCCATATAACTAAAACAAATCCCATCCTTGCATATAAGCCATCTTTCTTCACCTTTCTTGAAAAACAACACATATACGACACAAGGAGCATAGGGATGGACCTGGGTATACTTAATAGGAAAGTCTCTTAATAGTCATTGTATTTGCAAAGCTGAAGATTACAGCCAAGCTCCCTCATCCCTTACATGTTTCTATCAGAGAAGGGTAGAATGTTCAGGAACTTAATGTGGGGGAGTGTTGCTGGGTAGAGATTGCTTGTGATATGCTGTATTAAAGACGGCCTGCCTGCAGTATTTTAGGATTTGCCTCACTCCTTCATTCTTTCAATTATAGTTGTATCCTTATCTTTACTAATGGCCTCAATTTATATGCTCTCTTTCTTGGTGAAGGTGTGTGCAACAGTCGCTATCAAAAAGATCCCTAGAAAGCGAGGAAGGATGATTCCCTTAGTTTAGTGGCACAATGGTGTCAGGAAGGTTGTTCCAAAGAGACGGTGGTAGTACCTATCATAATGGAATTTTATGGCAGCTCTTGGGGGTGAGCCACTATCCTGTTATTACATCCAACGCTAGTGATGTTAACAGTTTAGTTACCTGGCACATATTGAGCTTTGACACAGTATATATTTCGGATTTAAAACTTTATTCACCCCATATAATAGTATATATAAAATGTTGTGAAGATGAAAGCATTTCTGAAACTTGATCACTCCTTTGGGACTGGCTCAGATTATAGACTTGAAAAAAAATAACGGTAGAAAAATGTTTATTCTCTAAGGGTAGATCTGATTTGGAGATAGCCAAGTCACTTGAGACTGAGTCTGGTGAAATAAAGTAGTAAATACCCTGAACATAATTTTTAGTATAATAAACATGTAAAAGGATTGACCTGTTTTACTGGTAGAATAAGTCTCTATAGCCTCACAACATGCTACTCTCAAAGGAAACAAGGGCTACTGGGACAGAATGTAACTGCTCTTAAAGTTTTGTTTGGGGCACATAAATATCGATCTGATTTTATGATAATGGAGGGAAAATGAACATAGCTAAGGGAAGGCTACAAAATATTCAGCTCATTTGGAGGCCAGGTAATAAGGAAGCTTCTGAATGGTAAGCAGCTTTTCTATCAAGTGTGGGTTGGTAGCCCTGCTTGACTTAAAATGAGTGTTACAGCTGTTGGGAAACAGGAAATGGGGCTGGATTACACAAAGACATCCAAAACTAACACAAACACACATGGACTTCCTGGTATGTAAATTCTTTTTGAGATGAGAGATCTCCCTTTACAGAATTTAGTATATAACAGATTCAATAACCAAACTTCGTGACCTCTCAATATTAAATAACTAAATGTGCAAAAGAACCACCATTATATAGGACAACAAAAGCTATACATTTTCTATGAAACAGTATGTGCACAGATTTTCAAAGCTGTGAAAATACAATAAAGAGCACAACACATTTTGGTCACTTTATTAAATGACATTAAATAGTTTAAGTTTCAACTACTAAACAGCACTTTGAATGGTGAAAACACAGATAGTATATTGTCATACTTGAATGCTTTTCTTTAAAAACACAATTCCAGTCCTTATATATATTACAAAACAGCCTTAAAGGAAGAAGTGACATCTTTTCTACAGTACTTAAGATACTCAATACAGAACTGAAAAGCAGTCTAACAGAAACAAAGGCAAGTCTTCACAGCTGTATGATTTCAGCAGCCAAAGCTGGATGATGGACTGAAACATTACTATACAACTGGGACAAAACATATACAATATCACAATACTAAGCAAAAACGCTTTACACCCAAAGAAATAAAACAGGTTACAAAATGTGGAGAATTTAGCAGGCAAAACTGTATTACAAGCAACATTTTAAATCATCATTTTTAATCCATTGCAACTATTTAAAACATCTAAAACAAATATAAAAATGAGCCTTTTAGTATTTTACTGACGTGATTTTTTTGTCTTTAAATATTTGTTAAAGCTTGATGTTATACTCAAAGTACATATTATATAGCTAAAATGTCAAGTGAGAAGAGTGTATACAAAGTGGTCCAAGTTTTATTTCAAACTCTGATTTCCAATTAACCCTTCTAAGTATTATTCTTTAAGTTATAGTTTCATCCATGGTGAAAAAGATTTAGAAGGTTGCCTAAAATTTTCACATCTATGTCTTTGAGTAAATAATTAGACCATGTTGAAAATTCCCAGGTCTAGTAAATCAGGTTTAAAATATTCTGAACTTGTAGAAATACCAACTGGTAACAGTTGGCCAGAGTGTACTGCCTTCAAATATTTCTCATAAATCTTGTCTTTTTCATTTTTTCTAAAGTAAATACACACCTGCCCCACCCAATTAAATAAATCTGATTACATGGCTAGCATAATATCTAAATATACAGGATTTATTAGTGATATTTCATCATGGGAAAGTGGGGGAGAGGGGCGTGGATCCACCAAACCTCACAAATTCTGTATCACAATCCTAGTGCTCTTGGATGTTTTACCACTAGTTCTTCCAAGATAAAAATGGCAATCTCTTAATCATCCAAACAACTCAAAGCAGTTTTAGCTAATGTTAAACTCATTCTAATCCAGTGATACCTAAAGCAAAGCCCAAACCCAGTTTTCTTTTTTTTTTTTTTTTTTTTTTTTTTGGAATTCTTAAGCTGTTTCACTACCTGTTGTATCATCATCTCAAAAATGGTTCTGCCATGTTGAGTTGACTCCCATAGTCAAAAACAATGTTTTCTTTAACAATTCAAGTAACCAAAATTGTACATGAATAAATTTATAGGTCATTTTTGCAGAACTGGATTAAGAAAAAATAAAATGTAATACATTTTCTAGTAAAACTTCTAGTAAAGGGGTATTGGATGAATTAATTTTGATTTAATAATTGCCTCACAATCTAAACTAAAAAAAAAACAAACTCTGAAACAATTTAAAAAAATGTAAGGAAACTGGGGTAAAAGAACATGATGATGAGAGAAAAGAAGCGCATAGAAGCCAGTGATTCTTATCTTTCAGAGGAATTATTTCACAATACTGATAGTACTGGGAATTGTTAAAAGTACATTCCTCATGTGAACCTAAAGTCAGCAATGGTTCTGCCATTTTGATGTTGTTTATAAAACAGGGTGTGAACCTAACAACCACAACTTCAGTGTTAACCTACTAAAATGCTAGAACTTGATTTTCTAAGTCCACATCCCACTGCCAGCAACAGGATGAAGCATTAGCACTGGCACCATGCAGTTAAGAGATGTGCTTTATATTCGTGCCAGGAGAGAGAAAATTCATGTGTGGAAGATAATCCACAACCCTGAAATTTTACCAGTAATTATTTCAGCACATATAACTGAAAATAAAAAATGGCAGAAGGACTAAAGAAGAAAAAGGAATTCTCTTCTTAGGCTATACTTAAGGCTGTTTATACAATGCTAAGATAACTGCAAGACTTCTCCAACTTTTAGAGCAGTAGTATTTAAGAATATTGCACACAATTCTGTGTCAAAGATAACCCTCAGTTTCTAACTTTCAGTCACAGAGACAATAAAGCAGGAGCCCAGTTTCAGACTTCAGTCAAAAGAACATTAAAACCATTTCAATCACTTTAATCAAGAAATGGATTAAGTACAAAAGTATTTCATAACTTGAGGAATCAACTCTAAGAACTCAGCTGTGTGTTTTTATATGTAAAGAATGAATATATAAATCTTTATTCTTTCCTAAATTTATTAATTTTATGACAATTTTATGGTTGCTAAAAGCAGGCATAAAAATTTAGAGAGGAAATCTGTGGAGTTGTTACTATTATGGAAGGACTTGTTTTCACTGAAAACAATTTGAAATATCTTCTGTACTCAGCGTGTGTAAGAAGATTCTAGGCAACATCACTGACAAATGTCAGGAAGAAATGGTATGCCCTATTTAAAAAAAAAAAAAGTAAAACTAATATGGAAGATTGGCATTTAAGGGGACCAAACTATTTATACAGTTGAGTTCTGTTAAGTCATTGATTCCTAAAAAAATAAAAGATCTTTCTATGATTTTAACAATCCATTAAGCTTTTAGTGCAAAATCACATTGATTTCCCTTGGGAAGGTCCTGGATTTTTGCTTCTCATTGGGGGTGGTGCACGCTGTAATGGTGGTGGCTGCATACCACCAGCCACTGGCTGATACATTCCTCTCATATCAATCTGCTGGTAGTTAGAAGGATTCATGATCAAATTTGGGGGCTTTGGCATCATGAGGTGACCCAGTGTTGCTTGTTGATAAGTCATTTGTTGCTGTTGCTGCTGATTGTACTGCTGCTGGAGCCTTCTGTTCATAAGTATTCGCTGAACACAGCTGATTAACTATAGAGAAAAAATGGGAGTCATTACAAGTGCATGACCTGTCTCAAAAGAGGTATCAAGTTTTGACTTAAAATCAATTTGTTAAGGGGGTACCATACCAAAAGGAAAACACATTATTGTTAACACCATTACTAATGTGATGGCATTCACAGGACCATTACTGTAGAAACCAGTTAGTAAGATCATTTAGGGCTAAATTCTCTTAATGTCTTGACTATTATATTGCAAGCAGCATTTAGCTTAGTTGCCATAGTAATGTGTTCTGTACTGTGATTAGTCTCAAGTATTAGTTACAACACTTTTTGTTAAGACTCCTTTCTTTGTCATTCTTTTGAATATTTCACATGATGACAGACAAACATTTTAGTGACAAACACCAAAGGGAAAGGCACTTGCAGTAGGAATAATTCTGACCAGGAATATCTCAAATGTACTAATATATTGTAAAACCACATAACCCTGCAGTGCTTTCTAAGTAAAATATATGCCACAGAAATAGATTCCCTGGTGTCAAGCGTAGAAATTTCCAAGTATAAGGCAGAAGGCTGGCAAACGACTGTGTTGGGAAACATGATCAAGGATCCTGGAATACAGTACCCTTTTAAAGAATTATATAACTTAGTAGGAACCTTTGATATGTATCATCCATAGCTCTACCTTTTATTCTCAAATTAAACACACTGATAAGTATACTACTATTTCGAGGTTGTTTAACAATGGCAAATGTGACTGGAGGCAGAGCAAGATGGCTGAATAGAAGCCTCCACTGATCGTCCTCCCCGAAGGAACAGCAAATTGAAAAACTATCTGCAATAAAATCACCTTCATGAGAACCAAAAATCAGGTGAGCAATCACTGTACCAGATTTTAACTTCATATCACTGAAAGAGGCACTAAAGGGGGTAGGAAAGACAGTCTTGAACTGCCAATGCCACCCCTCACTCATCCCCTGGCAGCAGCCGTGTGGCAGGGAGAGAGAATCTATGTGCTTGCAGGAAAAGAGTACAGTGATTATGGGACTCTGCATTGGAACTCAGGGCTGCCCTGTCACAGTGAAAAGAAACACCAGGCAGAACTCAGCTGGCACCCACAGAGGGAGCATTTACACCAGCCACAGCCAGAGGGAAATCACCTATCCCAGCAGGCAGAACCCGAGTTCCGACAAGCTTTGCCACTGTGGACTAAAGAGTTCTGGGGGCCTAAATAAACCTGAAAGGCAATCTAGGCCACCAAGAGTCCAAGTCCTGTACTGTGCTGGGCTGAAAGCCAGTGGACGGGGGGCGGGGGGGGGGGGCACATGACCTAGTGAGACACCAGCCAGGGTGGCCAGGAGATTGCTTGTGCCACACCTTCGCAAACCCCAGGCAGCACAGCTCACAGCTCCAGGAGAGACTCTTTCCTTTTGCTTGAGGTGAGGAGAGGAGAGGGAAGAGTAAAGAAGACTTTGTCTTGCAGCTTGAATATCACGTCAGCCACAGTAGGACAGGGCACCAGGCAGAGTCCTGAGGCCCTTGTTCCAGGCCCTAGCTCCTGGATGACATTTCCAGACATAACCTGGGCCAGAGGAAACTCATTCTCTTGAAGGAAATGACTCAATCCTGACAGGATTCAACATCTGTTGTCTGAAGAGCCCTTGGGCCCTGAATAACCAGCAGTGGTACCCAGGCAGTACTTGCAGTGGGCCTTCAGTGAGACTCAGAGACATGCTACCTTCAGGTGTGACATAGCACATTCCCAGCTGTGGACACTATGGGAAGAGACTCCTGCTTGAGAAAAGAAGACGAAAGAGTAAAGAGAACTTTGACATACAGCTTAGGTACCAGCTCAGCCACAGTGGGCTAGGGTACCAAGCAGACCCTCGGGGACCCTAATTCCAGGCCTTGGCTTTTGGATGGCATTTGTGGACCTTCCCTGGGCTGGAGGGGAGCCCACTGCCCAGAAGGGAGAGACGTAGTCCTGGTAGCATTTAACACAAGCTGACTGAAGAGCCCTTGGGCCCTGAGTGAACATCAGCAGTAGCCAGGCAATACCTGCTGTGGGCCTGGGGTGCTAGTGGTCACAGGGAGAGACTCCTTTGCTTGTGAAAAGCGGAGGGAAGGGTAGAAAGATTTTGTCTTATGGCTTGGGTGCCAGCTCAGCCGAAGTAGAATAGAGCTCCAGGCAGATTCCTAAAGATTCTGACTCCAGGCCCTGGATCTTAGATAGCATCTTGGGATCGGCCTAGGGCTGGGGGAAATCTGCAGCCCAGAAGGGAAGGACACAAGAGGAGCTGGCTTTGCCACCTGATGAATGTGGAGCCTTAGAGCCTTGAGCAAACAAAGGCGGAGGCCAGTAGTTACTGTGGATCTTGGGTGAGACCCATTGCTATGCAGGCTTCAGGTCTAACCCAGTGTGGTCCCCGTGAAGGGAGCCAGAGGGGTGCTTGTGTCACCTCTCCACCAGCTTTCCAGACAGCTTAGCACAGACAGAGAGAGATTCTGTTTGGGAGAAAGTAAGGGAAGAGAACAAGAGTCTCTGCCTGGTAATCCAGACAATTCTTCCAGATCTTATCCAAGACCACCAAGGCGGTACCTCTATGAGTCTCCAAGACTACAAGAGTCACAGCATTACCCGGTTTGGGATGCCTTCTAATGCAGATACAGATGCAGTGACCATTAGATCACAATATCCAACTCCCTTTGAATACCTAGAAAGCCTTCCCAAGAAGGATGGGTACAAACAAGGCTAGACTACAAAGATTATAATAAATACCTAACTCTTCAATGCCCAGACACGAATCAATGTCCACAACCATCAAGACCATCCAGGAAACACGACATCACCAAACGAACTAAATAAGGCCTCAGGGACCAATCCTAGAGAGACAGATACATGTGAATATATGTGACAGAGAATTCAAAAGAGCTGTCTTGAGGAAATTCAATGAAATTCAAGATAATATGGAGAAGAAACTGATAATCACATCAGATAAATTTCACAAAGATATTGAAATAATTTAAAAGAATCAAGCAGAAATTCTGGAGTCAAAAAATGCAATTGACATACTGAAGAATGTATTAAGAGTCTCTTAATAGCAGAACCGATCAAGGAGAAGAAAGAATTAGTAAGCTTGAAGACAGGCTATTTGAAAATGTACCATCAGAGGAGACAAAAGAAAAAAGAACAAAAAACAATGAAGCACATCTACAAGATCTAGAAAATAGCCTCAAATGGGCAAATCTAAGAGTTATTGGCCTTAAAGAGGAGGCAGAGAGACAGATAGGGGTATAAAGTTTATTCAAAGGGACAACAACAGAGAATTCCCCAAGCCTAGAGAAAACTATCAATATTCAAGAAAAAGAAGGTTATGGAACACCAAGCAGATTTAACCTAATGAAGACTACCTCCTACCATTTAATAATCAAACTCTCAAAGGTCAAGGATAAAGAAAGTATACTAAATGCAGCAAGAGAAAGGAAACAAATAACATACAAAGGAGCTCCAATACATCTGGCAGTAGACTTTTCAGTAGAAAACTTACAGCCCAGGAGAGAGTGACATGAGATATTTAAAAGGGGTGAAGGAACAAACAAACAAACAAACAAAAAACTTTTACCCTAGAACATCATATCTGGTGAAAATATGCTTCAAATGTGAAGGAGAAATAAAGACTTTCCCACACAAACAGAAGCTGAGGAATTTCAATATCAAACCTGTCCTACAAGAAATATTAAAGGGAGTTTCTCAATCTGAAAGAAAAGGATGTTAACAAACAACGAAAAGTTACATGAAGGTATAAAACTCACTGGCAATAGAACATTAGTTTTCTCTTTGCTTGTTTGTTACTTTGTTTGCTTGTTTATGCAATCAGTGTTATCATCAGCTTAAAATGATGCATTACATTATTTGCAAGCCTCATGGTAACTTCAAAAAAACAAACATACAACAGATAAACAAAAAACTATAAGCAAGAAATCATGCCGGGCGCGGTGGCTCAGGCCTGTGATCCCAGCGCTTTGGGAGGCCAAGGTGGATGGATCACCTGAGGTCAGTAGTTCGAGACCAGCCTGGCCAACATGGTGAAACCCTGTCTCTAGTAAAAATGTGAAAATTAGCTGCGCATGGTGGCGGGTGCTTATAATTCCAGCTACTCAGGAGGCTGAGGCAGGAGAATCGCTCAAACCCGGGAAGGCAGAGATTGCAGTAAGCTGAGATCATGCCACTGCACTCCAGCCTGGGCAACACAGTGAAACTCCGTCTCAAAAAAATAATAATAAAAGAAATTAAAACATACAACCACAGAAAATTGCTTTAACTAAAAGGATGATAGGAAGAAAAGAAGGAAGACAGGGATCACAAAACAACCAGAAAACAAATAACAAAATGGCAGGAGTAAGTCCTAACTTATCAAGAATAATGGGGTTGGAGGCTGGGCACAGTGGCTCACGCCTGTAACCCCAGCACTTTGGGAGGCCGAGGCGGGAGGATCACAAGGTCAGGAGACTGAGACCATCCTGGTTAACACGGTGAAACCCCGTCTCTACTAAAAATACAAAAAATTAGCTGGGCGTGGTGGCGGGCACCTGTAGTCCCAGCTACTCAGGAGGCTAAGATAGGAGAATGGCCTGAACCCGGGAGGCGGAGCTTGCAGTGAGCTGAGATTGCGCCACTGCACTCCAGCCTGGGCGACAGAGCGAGACTCCGTCTCAAAAAAAAAAAAAAAAAAAAAAAAAGAATAATGGGGTTGGGCAAGATGGATGACTAGATGCAGCAAGGTGGAAAAGCTGCCACCGAAAGACAAGGATGACTGGCACACTCCTAACAGATCTTCAGAGAGAAGGCAATGAGAGTGGGCGGAGGGAAGAAACAGAAGCTTGGTTGGAGGAGGAAGCTGGGAACCCTGAATGGGGCTACCGCACACCAGGACTCATTCCTGGCCCACAAGAACTCCAGGGGAATGAGTGAGTTGAAGTGGCAAGAAGCAACTGGCTCTTGCCTCGGGCCTCTGGAATTCCGCCAGGAGGAGACCCACAGCCAACATTATACTGAATGGGCAAAAGCTGGAAGTATTCATCTTGAAAACTGGCACAAGACAAGGATGCCCTCTATCACCACTCCTATTCAACATAGTATTAGAAGTCCTGGGCAGAGCAATCAGGAAACAGAAATAAATAAAGGTTATCCAAATAGGAAGAGAGAAAGTCAAACTATCACAGTATGCAGATGCCATGATTCTGTATCTAGAAAACTCTAGTCTTGGCCCAAAATGCTTCTTAAGCTGATAAACAAGTTCAGCAATATCTCAGGGTACAAAATCAATGTACAAAAATCAGTAGCATTCCTATACACCAACAAAAGTCAAGCAAAGAGGCAAATCAGGCATGCAATCCCATTCACAACTGCCACAATAAAGAATAAAATACCTAGGAATACAGCTAACCAGGGAGGTAAAAGGTCTCTACAATGAGAACTCCAAAAGACTGCTAAAAGAAATTAGAGATGTCAAAACAAATGGAAAAACATTCCATGCTCATGGATAGGAAGAATCAATATTGTTGAAATGGTCATACTGCCCAAAGCAATTTATACATTCAATGCTATTCCTATCAAACTACTAATGATATTCTTCATAAACTAGACAAAACTATTTTAAAATTCATATGGAACAACAAAAAAAAGGTTGAATAGCCAAGGCAATCGTAAGCAAAATGAACAAAGCTGGAGGCATTATGCTATACAACTTCAAACTATACTACAGAGCTACAGTAACCAAAACAGTGTGGTACTGGTACAAAAAGACACACAGACCAATGGAACTGAATAGACAGCTCAGAAATAAGGCCACACACCTACAACCATCTGATCTTTGACAAAGTTGACAAAAACAAGTAATGGGAAAAGGACTCCCTACTCAATAAACAGTGCTGGGGTAATTGGCTAGCCACAGGGAGAAGATTGAAACTGGACCCCCTCCTTACACACCATATACAAATATCAACTCAAGATGCATTCAATACTTAAATGTAAACCCGAAAACTATAAAAACCCTGGAAGACAACCTAAGCAATATAATTCTGGATATAGGAATGGGCAAAGATTTCATGATGAAGATGCCAAAAGCAATTGCAACAAAAGCAAAAATGGACAAATGAGATCCAACTAAACTCTGCACAGCAGAGCTTCTGCACAGCAAAGGAAACTATCAACAGAGTAGAGAGACAACCTACAGAATTGCAGAAAAGTTTTGCAAACTATCCATCTAGCAACTAATATCCATTATCTATAAGGAACTTAAAGAAATATAGAAGAAAATAACAACCCCATTAAAAAGTGGGCAAAGGACATGAACAGACACTTTGCAAAAGAAAACACACACGTGGCCAACAATCATATGAAAAAAAGCTGAACATCACTGATCATTAGAGAAAGGCAAATCAAAACCACAATGAGATACCTTACACCAGTCAGAATGGCCATTATTAAAAAGTCAAAAGATGCTGGTGAGGTTGTAGAGAAAAAGGAATGCTTATACACTGCTGGTGGGAGTGTAAATTAGTTCATCCATTGTGGAAAGCAGTGTGGTAGTTCCTCAAAGAGCTAAAAACAGAACTACCATTCAACCCTGCAATCCTATTACTGGGTATAAATTCAAAGGAACATACATTGTTCTATTATAATGACACACGTATATGTTCATTGCAGCACTATCCACAAAAGCAAAAACATGGAATAAAGCTAAATGCCTATCAATGGTAGACTGGATAAAGAAAATGTGGAAATAAAAAATAAAAATAAAGAAAAAGTTCAGGAGGGGTGAAAAAAAAAAATCCACGTGTGTAAAGGTGTATTCTAAATGTGCCTTTCTTCCTGATACCTACAGTGACTGAAGCTCTAGATACATGTGCCCTCTGCCTACTCATACTCACGTCCCCTCATACGGCATTCATTACGGAATGCCCCATTATCAAGTTCCACAGCAAAAATTGAGGCGTTGCATCCTGTGATTTCCAAACCTCAGCTAGCAGAGCCATAGCCTGCTACTAATGCCTCTGCATTTGGTTTATTGAACGCAGCTCATCACAAAGAGTCTGACAAATTCAACATGTTATAGACAACTAGAGCTTTTCTCATTCCAACAGTAGCTGACTCAACTATTAGAAATCTCAGAGATCAAAAATCTACTTTCTCATTCTCGGCTTGTAAAGCTGAGCCCAGATCTCAGCACACATTTTCAAGACTGTTGTCAATCTATTTATTTAATTTTATTAATATCTTCTATAAACCTAATAATAAGAACAAGATCATGTCCTTTGCAGGAACATGGATGGAGCTGGAGGCCATTATCCTTAGCAAACTAATGCAGGAACAGGAAACCAAATACCATATGTTTTCACTAAAAAGTGGGAACTAAATGATGAGAACACATGAACACATAGAGGGCAATAACAGACACTGGGGCTGACCAGAGGTTGGAGGCTGAGAGGAGGGAGATGATCAGGAAAAATAACTTATGGGTGCTAGGCTTAATACCTGGGTGACAAAATAATCTGTACAACAAACCCGTGACACAGATTTACCTATATAACAAACCTGCACATGTATCCATGAACTTAAAATGAAAGTTTAAAAACAGAATAACAGTGAATATAAATGGACTAAACTCTCCAATCAAGACATATAGTGTCTGAATGGATTTTTAAAAAAGACCCAACCATCTGTTTCCTGTAAGAAATACATTGTACCTATAAAGACACATATACAGTGAAAATAAAGGGATGAAAAAAGATATTTCATGAAAATGGAAACCAAAAAAGAGCAGGACTAGCTATACTTACATCAGCCAAAACAGATTTCAAGACAAAAAATATAAAAAGAGACAACGATGGTCATTATATAATGATAAAGGGGTCAATTCAGCAACAAGATACAACAATTGTAAATATATGTGCACCCAACACTGGAGCACCAGATATAAAAAGCAAATATTATTAGAGCTAAATAGAGAGACAGACCCCAAAATAATAATAGCTGGAGACTTCGACACCTCAACTTTACACATTGGACAGATCATCCAGACAGAAAATCAATAAAAAAAACCAACGGACTTATTCTGCACTATAGACCAAATAGATATTTACAGGACATTTCATCCAATGGTCACAGAATATACATTCTTTTCCTTGGCACATAAATCATTCTCAAGGAAAGACCATATATTAGGCCACAAAACAAGTCTTAAAACATTCAAACAAATGAAATCATATCAAGTTTCTTCTCTGACCACAATGGAATAAAACTAGAAATCAATAACAAGAGGAATTTTTGAAACTATATAAACACATGAAAATTGAACAATATGCTCCTGAATGACCAGTGGGTCAAAGAAAACATTAAGAAAAAAACTGAAAAACTTCTTAAAACGAATGATAAAGGAAACACAACATACAAAAACCTATGGGATACAGCAAAAGCATTACTAAGAGGAAAGTTTACAGCTCTAAGTGCGTGCATCAGAAAAGAAAAAAAAAACAAACACCTACCAATGCATCTTAAAGAACTAGAAAAACAAAAGAAAATAAAACCCCAAATTAGTAAAATAAATAATAAAGATCAGCACAGAAATAAATAAAAAGTTGGTTTTTTGAGAAGATAAACAAAACTGACAAACCATTAGCCAGATTAAGAAAAAGGAGAAGATTCAAGTAAATAAAATCAGAGATCAAAAAGTAGATATTAAAACTGTTACCAAAGAAATTCAAAGGATCATTAGAGGCTCCTATGACAAACTACATGCAAAAAATTGGAAAACCTAGAAGAAATGGATAAATTCCAAGACTCATACAATCTACCAAGATTGAAACATTAAGAAATCCAAAATCTGAACAGAGCAGTAACAAGTAACGAGATTAAAGCTGTAATAAAAAGTCTTCCAGCAAAGAAAAGCCTGGAAACCAATGTCTTCACTGCTGAATTTTACCAAACGTTTAAAGAAGAACTAATACCAATCTTCCTCAAACTGCTGTGACAAGTAGAGGAGGAGGGAATACTTCAAACACATTCTATAAGGCCAGTAACACCTTAATACCAAAACCAGACAAACACATCAAAAAAAGAAAACTACAGGGCAATATCTGAGATGAACATTCATGCAAAAATTCTCAACAAAATAATAGCAAACACAATTCAACACCACATTAAAAAGGTGTTGTTGAACATGACCAAGTGGGATTTATCCAAGGGCTTCAAGGATGATTTAACTATGCAAATCAATCAATGTGATACATCAAATAACAGAATGAAGGACAAAAACTGTATGATAATTTCAACTGATGCTGAAAAAACATCTGATAATATTCAAGATCCTTTCATGATATAAATCCTCAAAATACGGTTATAGAAGGAACATACCTCAACACAATAAAAGCCATATATTGACAGACTCACAGCCAGTATCGTACTCAATGGGGAAAAACTGAAAGACTTTCTTCTAAAAATTGGAACACAACAAGGATGCCAGCTTTTACCACTGTTATTCAACATAGTTCTGCAAGTCATAGCTAGAGCAATCAGACAAGAGAAAGAAATAAAGGGCATCCCAGTTGGAAAAGAAGAAGTCAAATTATCCTGTTTGCAAATGTTATGATCTGGTATTTGGAAAAACCTAAAGACTCCACCAAAAATATTTTAGAACTGATAAACAAACTTAGTAAAGTGGCAGCATACAAAATCAGCAGCATTTCTAAATGCCAGCAGTGAATAATCTGAAAAAGAAATTGAGAAAGTAATCCCATTTACAGTAGCCACAGTCAAAATTAAATACCTAGGAATAAACTTAACCAAAGAAGTGAAAGATGTCTACAATGAAAACTACACAATGCTGATGAAAGAAATGGAAGAGGGTACAAAAAAATGAAAAGATCTTCCATGTTCATGGATTGGATAAATTAATATTGTTAAAATGCCCATACTACCCAAAGCAATCCATAGATACAATGCATCCTTATCAAAATACCAATGACATTCTTCACAGAAACAAAAAAAAAATTCTGAACTTTTCATGGAACCACAGAAGACCCACAATAGGCAAAGCTGTAGTGAGCAAAAAGAACAAAACTGGAGGAATCACATTACCTGACTTCAAATGATACTACAGAGCTACAGTAACCAAAACAGCATGGTACTGGCATAAAAACAGACACACAGACCAAGAGAACAGAAGTGAGAACCCAGAAACAAATCCACACACCAGTAAACTCATTTTTTGCACAGGTGCCATGAACATGCATTGAAGAAAGGACAGTCTCATTAATAAATGGTGCTGTGGAAGCTGGATATCCATACGCAGAACAATGAAAGAAGACCCCAAGCTCTTGCCATATACAACATTCAAATCAAAATGGATTAAAGACTTAAATCTGAGACCTCAAACTATGAATCTACTACAGAAAAACACTGGGCAAACTGTCCAGGACATTGAACTGGCAAAGATTTCTTGAGTAATATCTCACAAGTACAGGCAACCAAATAAAAAATGGACAAACAGGATACCACTAAGTTAAAAAGCTTCTGCACAGCAAAGGAAACAATCAACAAGGCGAAGAGACAACCCACAGAATGCGAGAAAATATTTGCAAGCTATCCAACTGACAAGGGATTAATAACCAGAATATATAAGGAGCTCAAACAACTGCATAGGAAAAAAAATCTAATAATCAGATTTAAAAATGGGCAAAATATCTGAATAGATATTTCTCGAAAGAAGACATACAAATGGCAAACAGGCATAGGAAAAGGCACTCAACATCATCAGTCATTAGATAATGCAAATCAACACTACAATGAGAGGCTGGGCATGGTCACTCACGCCTGTAATCCCAACACTTTGGGAGGCTGAGGTCAGAGGATCGTTTAAGCCCGAGAGTTTGAGACCAGCCTGGGAAATATAGTGAGACCCCGTCTCTACAAAACCAACCAACCAAACAAAAAAGATAATGAAATATCATCTTACCCCAGTTAAAATGGCCTTTATCCAAAAGACAGGCAATAACTAATATTGGTGAGGATGTGGAGAAAAGGGAACTTGTGTACACTGTTGTTAGTAACGTGTATTAGTACAAGCACTATGGAGAACGGTTTGGAGGTTCCTCAGAAAACTAAAAACAGAGGTACTATATGATTCACCAGTCCCACTGCTAGGCCTATACCCAAAAGAAAGGAAATCAGTATATTGAAGAGGTAGCTGCACTCTCATGTTTATTGTAGCACTGTTCACAACATTAAGATTTGGAAGCAACCTAAGTATCAACCAACAGATGAATAAACAAAGAATATGTGGTACATATATACAATGGAGTACTATTCAGCCATAAAAAAGAACGAGATACTGCCATTTGCAATAGCATGCATAGAATTGGAGATCATTATGTTAAGTGAAATAAGCCAGGCATAGAAAGACAAAGTTCATATGTTCTCACTTATTTCTGGAAGCTAAAAACTAAAACAATTGAACTCATGATGATAAGAGAGTAGAATGGTAGTTACCAGAGGCTGAGAAGGGTAGCAGGGAGTGGGGTAATGGGGGATGGTTAATAGGTACAAAAGTATAGTTAGAATGAATAAGATCTAGTATTTGATACCACAACAGGGTGACTACAGTCAAAAATAATTTATTGCACATTTAAAAATAACTAGAAGAGTATAACTGGATTGTTTGTAACACAAAGAAAGGATAAATGCTTGAGGTGATAGATATCCTTTACCCTGATGTGATTATTATGCACTGTATACCTGTATCAATATACCTTATGTACCCCATAAATATATATACCTATTATATACTCACAAAAATTAAAAGTTAAATAAAATACAATTGGCAAATGTGGTAAAACTCTGGCAAAAATTCCTACGTAGATGTCCAGAATATATGAGAAATAAAATTATATGGACTAGATCATATGTAAACTTCAAGGATTCCCATTTAGGTAGCTGTTGCATTTTTGTAACAAAATATATTACTTTTACTTGACATTCCTGGGTTTTTTACATTTCTTCCAGAATTATCAATGACTATCCATCCCTCCATAGTAGGAATAATTACTGACGTAGATGTCATACAAACTTATTATAAAGTCAAGAAAATTAAACATAACCTAGAAATAGTCAGACGTCAGAATTCTTACCATCTGTTGTTTTGTCAATACATCATTGTAGATTGCTTCTCTTCGTTTAACATCAAGCTCCTGGCTGGCTTGTCTACTTAATGCTAACGCCTGTACTTGGGCCTCTGAGAGATTCATGTTCTCCTTCCACTAAAAGAAAAATTTTCTATTTACTCCTTATTACTGTACAATTGAGGAAAAATAATTAAGGTATTTTAAGATATTCGGGATTTCCCAAGGTTTCAAACCCCCCTTTTCCTTTATTCTTTTCTGAAGAAAAACATGATGCAAAACAGGGTACTAAGTTGTTCACTGCTGTACCTGGGCTGGCTATCTCTGGAATGAAACAATAATTTAGATTTAATTTGTACAACTGGTAATTAAAATGTTTATATAAACAATGCATACATTTCCATGTTTGATTTCTCAATTCTTACATTTTACCCATTTCTCTCTTGTGCCAACATCTATGTAAAATTGCTGGGTTACGGTTTGGCATTATCCATCCATTTTACCAGTATTTTACTATTGCAAATCAATTTATAAGAAGGAACAATTAAAAATTTAAAAAAATGGCAGTAGGGGGTGGAGGGTACAAATTGGAGGTTGGAATAAGACAATTGCCAATTAGCTTACTACAGCTGAAATTATATCCTCAAGAGGTTGAATCCTCACTGCTGTCACACTGTTTGTTGCTTCTACAACTTTTTCTCTTCCTTGATTAATGAGGTCCTAGAAGAATGCAAGAAATAAGTTATATAAGGCAGAAAGACAGCATAGTGTTAAAGTATAGGGAATCCTTCCATTTGCCAACTTAGAGCAGTCGGTTTTAAAACTCTTTAAATAATTGAAGAGAACAGCAAAATTCAGTATCAATAAAGTGGAGTAAACCATATCAATGCTCAAAGAGTCTTGTTAGGAAGATTAAAAAAGTTTGAGTTTTATCACACCAATAATTTAATAATGCAGAAGAATCCATAAGCACATTTTATAATGTGTTTCAGATTCAATTAAGTCATTATTGGTATAATAAAAACCCAGTCTTTCCTATTTAATTTACAATTGATTCTAGCTTTAAATCATTTATTTCATAATATTGGGCATTATATATTTAATTGTGCATCTATAATGCACTAGAATAGAAGTTAATGAGTATATTTATCTTACTTTCAAACAGTAAGATAGCAATTTATTATAACTATTTTATAACTGAAGAAGGTGCTATTTCCCAAGCGAGTCAGCAGCCCTATTGTTTCTTAATTAAAATAATTCAAACTACATTAATTCACCGACTGATTCCTTTGTGCTCTGAACAAACCACATTTTACAACATCATGTTGGTTCAAAACGGTCAACAAATAAAACAAAAATTTATTCGTCTATTCAGGGGTAATCTTTTGGAGAATGTGATATTTCTGCATAGGGAACCCTCAACAACAAGGCACTTGAAATTGCCTTTAATTCATGTCAAACTACTTTTGTACTTCACAACTCACCTCCAGCTGTTGATTACTCATTGCTGACAGGGCTCCCAAATTGAAAGGAATATAAGGAGTTTGAGAGTTGAAACTGACAGGGGGTAAATTGGTCCCAGTTGGTATGTTGAAACGCATGGTCAGTCCCTAAAAACAAAAAAATTATGCACTTTTCACATTGTGATTTAAAACTTGAAATTCTACATCACCTACTGGTTTAGAAAAGAATCCACATTCTCAGATCCAGGAAATTATTAACACTCTTCCACACACAAACAAAACACCCTTTTCACCCGAAACCAAGATCTTATTACAAGGAAAGCTTTAACCCCTAAAGGTGTACTTTTTTTTTCTGATAATTCCCACAGAATGGGGGCAACTCAAAGAATTCTGATGAGACTCTGAACATCACACTAATGTTAAAGAAGTTTGGTACAATAAGTTAGGAGTTTGAAAAGGATTCAGGTATTAGGATAAGGTTTCCCATGCTCAGGCACATTTTTGCTCAAGTGGGTTGATGTTTAAAACAGACATAGAATGATCTTAAATAAAGTTGCTGCTGGAGCAAATGGCATTAATGTCTAATAATGAAATATTTTTGTGTTCTGATATTCAGCCAAAATTTAGATTTCATGGTATACATGCAAAGCTACATTTACTACAACCTCCAAACACTAAGCTCCTGTATGTTTGTTACTACAGAGAGGGTACTGATGGGAGGTTAGTGATGCTAAATATATGGCTTCCCACTCATTTCTCAATTCAACAAATACTAGGCAGAAATGGGATTACTACTCTTTAAGTGTAAACTGTTTTCTTCTGTCTTCTCCTCCTACTCTACCACTAAAGGTAGCTGAAACCAACCCATAAAGAGATTCTTGTAATTGGGGAATGTGTTCCTAAAACCCACTATATTATTATTACCTGTTTCAAATGTGACCCTTTTCTTCTTCATTGCTCTTTCAAATCACTAACATAACAAAAACAAAAACACATTTTGCATCAACTACCTTCTTCTCTGCTTCATACTCAGCCCAAGCTGCTTTTCTTTCTTCTTCAGTCAACTCTTCTTCTTCTTTGTGGTCCAAAAGAGAATCATGTTCATGGTATCCTACAATGTGTTCTTTATGTATCTGAAGGAGCTCTGCAAGTATGGTATCCTGTTTAGAGGGGTTGAAATAAGAGACAATTATTTTTCCCCTCTGGACAGTATAATATCTCCATAGTTCTATGGTCAACTGTACTAGAAACTAAAACCTGATTGCTATATATATTTCTGATATATATGACAGATTACCTAAAAAACAGCAGCAAAACATGTAACACCAGCCTCTTATGTAAGACTTTCATGTTTATACAGTATGGTTTAGGCATTCCATTGTTTTTTAATTACCACTTTTCAGATTTCAAGGTCTTTCCACCAACTTAACATTTTTTATATGCATTTTATTTTGTGCTTAATTCTGAGTTGATAAATGCTAACATAAGTCTGCTTAAATTAGTGACTATATTGGATGCCTGTGCTAGAAATCAAGGCTACTCCTATTTATACATCATAAACAACTTTATTTTCACAATCATTTCAACTGCCAACCACTATATTAACAAAAAACTAATCTAAATTAATCTAAACAGTTATAGGAGAGTTTAACTGAAACATATAGCCCTTATATTCCAACTGCAGGAATGTAAATGTTAAATTACACTGTAAAGACCCATGGGTCAAATTTAAATTGATATACATTTTTCAATTTATTATCATAGTATATATAGTTTAAAGAAATCATGGTATCTTAAGCCAGTCTTTTAAGATTAAAAAATTAAAAGCTTAAAAATTGGGATCATTTATATACTCAGTAAGAACAACTAAACTCCTGCTCTGTTTAATTATGACTGTGAGAGTGAGACACAAAGATAGATGGGGTGGGGGTTTAAAGTGAATTACAGATATGTTACTTTTAATAAATTTAAAATATTCACAAGTTGTTCATTAAGAAATCACATATGAAAACCTGGATCTATAAAAGGCAAATTAATTCACTTTACAGAAGGATTTTCCATAGCTTTTAACAAGTTTTCCTAGAACACACTTTCTAAATTGTGCATTTCTGATCAAATGAAAGTAGTGGAGGTATACATACAGCACACTGAATTCAAATTTAATCTGCACCTAGTGATGCTTAATGCACTCATAAATTTTTGCATAGACAAAGCCCACATTTGAAAATAATTATGCCTTTACACACCTTGAGTATAGGGTCCAAAAAGTGGTAAGAACTCAAATGTGCATTAAATAACTCAAGATGAAAAATTCAAATCATGAGGCCCCAGGTTTTTTTTCTATATAATAGCAAATACTGACACTAATTCCAAATATTCTGATATTTAATATCTTGTAAACAACTTTTTATCTTGCTACCCCAATAAACATTTGAAACAATTATTTCCTTTCTTAACAGAACTGATATTCTTAATAGATACAACCATAATAGAGACTTTATAATTCTTTTTTTTTTTTTTTTAAGATAGGGTCCCATGTTGTCACCCAAGTTGGAGTGCAGTGGTTTGATCACAGATCACTGCTGCCTTGAACTCCTGGGCTCAAGTGATTCTCCTGCCTCAGCCTCCCGAGTAGCTAGGACTACAGGTGCATACCACTGTACCTGGCTAATTTTAAAAATTTTGTAGACATAGGATCTCAGTATGTTTCCCAGGCTGGTTTCAAATTCCTGGCCTCAAGTGATCCTCCCACCTTGATCTCCCAAAATACTGAGATTACAACAGGTATAATCCATTTTGAGATGTATGTGTGTGCTATTTCCTTTGTTGAAAACAAAAAACAATAAAAGACCATACAAATGACAGGACTCAATAAAGTCTACTGATAGAATACATGGATGCTAACAGGCTTAGTTACTTTGAAATGTTAACTAAATGCTTCTCTCTCACGCCAATGTAGAAACTTGCTATCGAAGCTGACTTCTCTGGCTTATGCCACATACAATAGGTTTATCATCACTAGATCAATCTCCAAAGTCCACTGTTACTGACCAGGCAGGCAGGAAGACAGGCCAATCTGCATTAATTTATTCTACTAAAAGATAGGGCTTTCTTAAATGTGTAACTCCTATGCCCACCCCCCCAACACATACATGCCAAACATGACTCAAGAGATAAAATAAAACCAGATAACACTGACTTAACATTTTTAACACATTTACCAAATACAATGAGAAAAGTCAGGTGTTCTACAACACACCAAATAAATTACAAGATTAAAATGTTCTATGGATAATCTCTAATTTTACTTCTGTCTAGCAATAAATGATCTTAATCATAGTCAGATCAGTTCATTTCTCTAAGAAAGCAAACTGGTTAAGAGAAAGGCCAAGAAAACTGTATACTAGGAACTAATTCATTTCTATCTGTGCTACTGATTCTTTCAATAACATTGGATAATAACTTAGTCTAGCTATGACTGTAAATTAAATATGGATGATACACACATTCTCTGCTCACGTGTGTAACAGGATGATATGAAAATACCAGGAATAAACAAAAGCACAAAAATACCCAATTCTTTGGAAATAGACATTGTCAAGTGTGGTATTTATTTCTCAATTATAAACAACACAATTTATAACATTAATTATATATTTAATGGTTGGAGGGGAAGCCTTTCCAGAAATGCATGTGCACATACACATATACACAAACTCATATACAGCCTTTTAAAAAATGTCTGAGATACCAGGAAAGCTTTATTAAGTCAGTCCTTAGCATCCTAAAATTTCTAAGTCCAACTGTGTCATCATAGAATTAGTAGAAATTGAGGCCCAAAGAGGCAAAGTAACTTTTTCCGATTATACAGCTAAGGACTACCTGGGACTGGAAACTAAATTTCCTGGCTCCTATGCAGTGATGATTCTATCACACCACAAAGAATGTCTGTTTTATTGAGATACAGTTCCTCTACTTCCCAGAACTATTCCCTTAGAAAAAAAAAGGTAATTCAATGAAAGATTCCAGGGGAGGGGGAACTTATGTCTATTTTCTTACTTTTAGCACTTTTTAACTTTTATTTATTTATTTAGAGACAGAGTCTCACTATTGCCCAGGCTGGAATACAGTGCTCACTGCAACCTCCACCTCCCAGGTTCCAGCGATTCTCCTGCCTCAGCCTCCTGAGTAGCTGGAACTACAGGTACTCGCTACCACGCATGGCTAATTTCTGTATTTTTAGTAGAGATGGAGTTTCACCAAGCTGGCCAGGCTGGTCTCGAACTCCTGACCTCAAGTGATCCACCTGCCTCGGCTTCCCAAAGTGCTGGGATTTCAGGCATGAGCCACTGAACCTAAAAGTACTTTTGTACTTTTTGAACTTTTTAAAACAAGCATGTTAATTTAATAAAAGAAAACATAAAAACTGAAACAATGACAAGTCTCAAGACAAACTTGTGAAAGGCCAGTTCAGGCTTATACTATGCCTGAAAATAATACCACGCACTATTTTACCATTTTCATCTTCAGGAGACACTTATTTTGAGAAACGCCATTTCTAAACCCCTTTAACGTATTCACCCCACTAATTCCAGATTTAAAACCTATCCTATCAAGTCAGACATGACTGTCTAAGGTCAGGTTATGGTGAAGGTTCAGCCTCTAATGATGCAATAACTTTCCTTTTGACTTACAGTCAACTGAAATGCCAATGTAAGTCACAGGAAAAGTACATGTGAATTTGTTTGTTTTCTATCTTAAAAAGTTTCAGATTTTTTGCCTAAAACATTACCTCCATCCTGGCTACTATAATCCTCTTTTCAAAGAACCGAACAAAACAAAGAAATGCAAACAATACTAACATCCAATTACAAAACCAGGAAATAACTACCAGTACCATTTTTTATTTTATTCCTCCACACATTGACACACACACACCTTTGCATAAAAATGGAACTGGACAAAGGGCAAGATGGCTGATGAGAAGCAGCTGTGGTCTGTGGCACTCACAGAGAGGCATGAAAAGGGGTGAATGAATCCAATACCTTCAAATGAAATATCCAGGTTCTCACATTGGGACTGAATAGGCAAAAAGCATGGAGAGCAAGGAGAAGGGCTACGGCCCATCCAGGAGCCACGTGGAGCAAAAGGAACCCCCACCCCCAGCCAGGGGAGGCAGTGAGTGATTGTGCAACCCGCTCAGGAAGCCACCACGCTTCTCCCATGGATCTTTGCAACATGCGGAGCAGGAGATCCTGTTGTGAACCCATTCCACCAGGACCTTGGGTCTGATACACAGAGCTGTGTGGAGTCTCAGCAAAACAGCAGCTCAGGCGCACACAGAGATCTGGGAGTTCTGCATGCTCCTGCCCCGGGATCCCCGCCAAGGCATAAAATCCATCCATATACATCCCTAGGAAGGGGTCTGAATACAGGGAGCCAAGCAGCATGGCTCGGCAGGCCCCATTTCCATCGCACCTCACAGGCTAAGACCCACTGGCTTGGAATCTCAGCTAGCCAACAGCAGAGGGCTGAAGTCCGCCTGAGACAAGACCAAGTTCCAGCGGGAGGGGCGGTCGCCATCTCTGCAATTCAGGGGAAATAGCCAATACAGCCTGCCAGCTGTGAAGAGTGGACACGGCCCAGAGGAGGAGGGGCCGCCCACAGCGCAGTGCAGTGGCCTTGCCAGATAAGGGGGCCAGACTGCTTCTTCAACCAGACGGACCCACTCCAAACTGAGCAGGACTTCCCATGCAGGGTCAGAGATCTGATCTCTCGCTGGGAGGGAGCTGGGGGTGGTGGGGGGGTGGGGGGCGGCTGATATCTCTGTGGTTTCTGGGGACTCAGTTGTTCCAGCCTCCCCGTTGTGGAGAGTGCAGACCACCCAGACAAGGAGCACCCCCTCCTTCCCCGCACAAGGCACAGCGCAGCTGCCTTGCCAGATTGTAGCCAGACTGCTTCTTTGACAGGTCCCGACCCACTCCTGCAGACAGAGATCTGATCTCTCCATGGGAGGGAGCTCCCCAGGGGAGGGCCAGCGGCCATCTCTGTGCTTCCGTTAAATCAGCCATTTCAGCTTGCTGGTTATGGAGAATACAGGTGGTACAGAGGAAGAAAAGGGTCCACCCCAGTGCAACACACCTGCTCTACCAAGAAGCAACCAGACTGCTTCATTGGGTGGGTCCCTGATCCCATCCCTCCTGACTGGGTGAGATCTTCCAGTGCAGGTTGCCAGCCGCCTCCTGCAAGTGCTGGAGAAGCCGAGGAAACTAGGGTCTGGAGCAAACCCCCAGCTAACCACAGGAGCCCTACAGTAGGGTGGCGTGATTGTTAAAAGAAAAACAAACAAACAGAAAACAACAGCAGCAATGTCAACAACAACAAAAAAAGGCCCCGAAAAAAAACCCATTCAAAGGTTAGCAACCTCAAGGATCAAAGGTAGATAAGCCCACAAAGATGAGAAACAATCAATGCATAAATGCTGAAAACTCAAAAAGCCAGAGTGCCTTTTCTTCTCCAAATGACTGCAACACCTCTCCAGCAAGAGCACAGAACTGGGCTGAGGCTGAGAAGGATGAAATAACAGAAATACGCTTCAGAAGGTGAGTAATAACAAATATCGCTGGGCTAAAAAAAAGCATGTTTTAACCCAAGGCAAAGAAGCTAAGAATCACGATAAAACAATACAGGAGCTGATAGCAAGAATAGCCAGTTTAGAGAGGAACATAACCAACCTGATGGAGCTGAAAAACACAACATGAGAACTTCACAATGCAAACTATCAATAGCAGAAGAGACCAAGGTGAGGAAAGAATCTTAGAGCTGGAAGACTATCTTTCTGAAATAAGACAGGCAGACAAGAATAGAGAAAAAAGAATGAAAAGGAATGAACCTCTGAGAATTATGTGATTATGTAAGGAGACCAAACCTACGACTGACTGGGGTCCCTAAAACTGACAGGGAGAGTGGAACCAAGCTGGAAAACATACTTTAGGATATCATCGAGGAGAACTTCCACAACCTAGCAAGACAGGCCAAATTTCAAATTCAAGAAATGCAGAGAACCCCAGTAAGATATTCCACGAGAAGATCAACCCCAAGACACATAATCATCAGATTATCCAAGGTCGAAATGAAAGAAAAAATGTTGAGGGCAGCCAGAGAGAAAGGCCAGGTCACTTACACAAAAGAAAGCCCATCAGACTAACAGCAGACCTCTTAGTGGAAAACCTGTAAGCCGGAAGAGATTAGGGGCCAATATTCAACATTCTTAAATAAAAGAAATTCCAGCCCAGAATTTCATATACAGCCAAACCAAGCTTCATAAGCAAAGGAGAAATAAGATCCCATTTAGACAAGCAAATGCTGAGGGCATTCATCACTAGCAGGCCTGCCTTGCAAGAGGTCCTGAAGGAAGCACTAAATATGGAAAGAAAAAACCATTATCAGCCACTAAAAAAAACACTGAAGTACACAGTCCAGTGACACTATGAAGCAACCACACAAACAAGTCTGCAAAATAACCAGCTAGCATCACGATGATGCTAAAGCAGATTCATAAAGCAAGTTCTTAGAGACCTACAAAGAGAATTAGACTCCCATACAATAATAGTGGGAGAGTTTAACACCCCTCTGACAATATTAGATCATTGAGACAGAAAATTAACGAGGATATTCAGGACCTGAACTCAGCTCTGCATCATGTGGACCTGATAGATATTTACAGAACTCTTCACCCAAAAACAACAGAATATACGTTCTTCTCATTGCCACACAACACATACTCTAAAATTTATCACATAATAGGAAAATACTCCTCAGCAAATGCAAAAGAACTGAAATCATAACAGTCTCTTAGACCACAGCGCAATCAAATTAGAACTCAAGAATAAGAAATCCACTCAAAACCACAGAACTACATGGAAATTGAACAACCTGCTCCTTAATGACTCTTGGGTAAATAATGAAATTAAGGTAGAAATCAAGAAATTTTTTGAAACTAATGTGAACAAAGAGAAAACACATCAGAATCTCTGGGAGAGAAATTTATAGCACTAAAATGCCCACATCAAAAAGCTAGAAAGACTGGGCACAGTGGCTCACGTCTGTAATCCCTGCACTTTGGGAGGCTGAGGCGGGTGGATCACTTGAGGTCAGTAGTTCGAGACCAGCCTGGCCAACATGGTGAAACCCCATCTCTACTAAAAAATACAAAAAATTAGCCAGGCGTGGTGGCAGGTACCTGTAATCCCAGCTACCTGGGAGGCTGAGGCAGGAGAATCCCTTGAACCCAGGAGGCGGAGGTTGGAGTGAGCTGAGATCGTGCCATTGTATTCCAACCTGGGCAACAGAGTGAGACTCCGTCTCAAAACAAACAAACAAACAAACAAACAAACAAAACAAAACTAGAAAGATTTCACGTTAACAACCAAACATCTCAACTAAAAGAACTAGAGAACCAAGAGCAATCAAACCCCAAAGCTAGCAGAAGACAAGAAACAACTAAGATCAGAGCTGAGCTGAAGCAAACAGAGACATGGAAAACCCCTAAGAAAAAAAAAATAACAAAAGAAATTCAACGAATCCAGGAAGTGGTTTCTTAAAAAAATTAATAAAATAGTTAGACCGCTAGCTAGGCTAATGAAGAAAAGAAAGAAGAATCAAATAAAATAAAAATCAAATAAAAAATAAAATCAGAAATAAGGGGGACATCCCCACTGACCCCACAGAAATGCAAACAACCGTCAGAGAATAATATAAATACCTCTGCGCATATAAACTAGAAAATCCAGAAGAAACAGACAATTTCCTGGACAAACACACCCTCCAAGACTGAACCAGGAAAAAACTGAATCTCTGAATAGACTAGTAACATGTTCTGAAATTGAGGCAGTAATAAATAGCCTACCAGCCAAAAAAAGCCCAGGACCAGATGGATTCATAGCCGAATTCTACCACAGGTACAAAGAGGAGCTGAATACTGAAACTATTCCAAAAATTACAGAGGAAGGACTCCTCCGTAACTCATTCTATGAGGCCAGCATCATCCTGATATGAAAACCTGGCAGAGATACAACAAAAAAAGAAAACTTCAGGCCAATATCCTTGATGAACATTGATGCAAAAAAATCCTCAATAAAATAATGGCAAACTGAATGAAACCAGCAGCACATCAAAAAGCTTATCCACCATGATCAAGATGGCGTCATCCCTGGAATGCAAGGTTGGTTCAACATATGGAAATAAATAAATGTGATTCATCACATAAACAGAACTAAACACAAAAACCACATGATTATCTCAATAGATGCAAAAAACATCTTCAATAAAATTGAGCATGCCTTCATTGTTTAAAACTCTCAATAAACTAGGCATTGAAGGAACATATCTCAAAATAATATGAGCAATATACGACAAACCCATGGCCAATATCATACTGAATGGGCAAAAGCTGGAAGCATTCCCCTTGAAAACTGGCACAAGACAAAGATGCCTTCTCTCACCACTCCTATTCAACGTAGTATTGGAAGTCCTGGCCAGGGCAATCAGGCAAGAGAAAGAAATAAAGTATATTCAAATAGGAAGAGAGGAAGTCAAAATATCTTTGTTTGCAGATGACATGTCCCTATAGCTAGAAAACCCCACTGTCTCAGCCCAAAAGCTTCTTAAGCTGATAAGAAACTTCAGCAAATTCTCAGGATATAAAATCAATGTGTAAAAATTACTAGCATTCCTATACACCAACAACAGGCAAGCAAAGAGCCAAATCATGAATAAACTCTCATTCACAATTGCTACAGAGAGAATAAAATACCTAGGAATACAGCTAGCAAGGGGGAAGTGAAGGACCTCTTCAAGGAGAACAACAAACCACTGCTCAGGGAAATCAGAGAGGATACAAACAAATAGAGAAACATTCCATGCTCATGGATAGGAAGAATCAATAGTGTGAAAACGGCCATACTTCCCAAAGTAACTTACAGATTCAATGCTATTCCCATTAAACTACCACTGACAATTCTTCACAGAATTAGAAAAAAAAAACTATTTGAAAATTCATATGGAACCAAAAAAGAGCCCAAATAGCCAATGAATCCTAAGCAAAAAGAACAAAGCTGAAGGCATCATGCTACCTGATTTTATCTATACCACAAGCCTACAGTAACCAAAACAGCATGGTACTGGTACAAAAACAGACACATCGACCAATGGAATGGAATAGAATAGAGAACCCAGAAATAAGACTGCACACCTACAGCCATCTGCTCTTTGACAAACCTGACCAAAACGAGCAATGGGGAAAGGATTCCCTATTTAATAAGTGGTGCTAGGAGAACAGGCAAGCCATATGCAGAAAACTGAAACTAGAATCCTTCCTTACACCATACACAAAATTTAACTCAAGATGGATTACAGACTGAAATGTAAAACTCCAAACTATAAAAACCCCAGAAGAAAATCTAGGCAATACCATTCAGGATATAGGCATGGGCAAAGATTTCATGAGAAAAACACCAAAAGCAATTGCAACAGAAGCCAAAATTGACAAATGGGATCTAATTAAACTAAAAAGCTTCTGCACAGCAAAAGAAACGATCATCAGAGCGAACAGACAACCTACAAAATGGAAGAAAACGTTTGCAATCTATCTATATTACAAAGGTATAATATCCAGAATCTACAAGACATTTAAACAAATCTATGAGAAAGAAACAACCCCATTAAAAAGTAGGCAAAGGACATGAACAGACATTTCTCAAAAGAAGACACACTTGTAGCCTATAAACATATGAAAAAAAGCTCATCATCACTGATCGTTAGAGAAATGCAAATCAAAACTACAATGAGATACCATCTGATGCCAATCAGAATGGCTATTACTAAAAAGTCAAAAAACAGCAGATGCTGGAAAAGTTGTGGAGAAAAATAACACTTTTATACTGTTGGTGTTCAACCATTGTGGAAGACAGTGTGGCGATTCCTCAAAGACCTAGAGGCAGAAATAACATTTGACCCAGCAATCCCATTACTGGGTATATACCCAAAGGAATAGAAATCATTCTATTATAAAGATACATGCATGCGTATGTTCACTGCAGCACTATTTACAAAAGCAAAGTCATGGAATCAACCTACATGCCCATCAATGATAGACTGGATAAAGAAAATGTGGTACATATACCAGATGGTACATATACACACTATGCAGCCATAAAAAGGAACAAGATCATGTCCTTTGCAGGGACATGGATGGAGATGGAAGCCATTATTCTCAAACTAATGAAGGAACAGAAAACCAAACCCCACATGTTCTCACTTATAAAGTGGGACCTGATCGATGAGAACACATGGACACATGGAGGGGGACAACACACACTTGGCACCTGTGGGGGGTTGGGGGAGGGAGTGCATCAGGAAGAATAGCTAATGGATGCTGAGCTTAATACCTGGGTGATGGGATGATCTGTGCAGTAACCCACCATGGCACACATTTACCTGCATAACAAAGCTGCACATGTATTCTGGAACTTAAAAGTTGAAAGAAAAAAAATGGAATTGAAGTATATGTAGTTTTGAAACATACTCTTATCTCTTAATACCTTTCCGTGGATATCATTTTACATCAAATCCAAACCTTCATCATTTCTAATAGCTGCACAGTGCTTATATAGTTATACTTTATCATCTATTTAATCATTCCCTTACTTAAGAGTTTATTAAAACATTAAGACTGCTTCCAGTTTTTATTACCAAATCTGCGAACAAGGGTTAATGAATAAAGTTTAATGTATTTCAATCACTTCTTTATATGATTATGCCAAAAAATTCAAAGACTAAAGATAAGCATGCTTTCCATAATTTTCATTTTAACAAAGAAAAGACCGTGCAAGTAAGTTAACTGGTTTTTTAAATTGAAAATCATTTATGTAGTTCATAAGCAGGAAGGCAGAAGTCTTTCTTTCCTCCAGAGTGCTATGTAAGACATGAATAAGAGAAAAAAAAGACATAGGATTTCTGATACAAACTGTTTCTAAATCTTCCCCTTTTAAATTAATAGCAGCATACTATCAATATAAGAAACAAATAATGAAATTAAGGGGACAAAAAAGTATTTGTAACAGGATCTTCAGATTATTTCTTTGGGAAAAAACAGTTTTGCAAAGTCCAGAGCAAGTTATAAAAGTTAATAAAGAAAATTTCATCCCAATACACAACACAACTGGTGGAAAGGTTTTTGTTTTATCCTGTAAAAGCATGCATTTATATTAGTTGCTAGAGTAACACTATTATTGAAAACAATAGTGGAGCAGAATCTATAATCACTAAGCCAACAGTCATCAAAATGAGATTTAAATTACATCCAAATGTGTACCTTTACTTTTCTTTGTCTAAACTTTTTTTTCCTTAAATAAGTGAAAAAGCTTATACACAGGGAAAAGCAAGGTCTATATTCTAGCTCACAATCTAAATTAGTTTAAGCTTTTAAAACGACTAGTTCAATTAATAAAACAAAATTAATGATAAATTATAAGTTTAAGTTAATTTACTTAGAAGTTTAAAGTATTTGGCAAGCTGACAAAAATTCCCATCTAATTAATTCTGAAATTCAACCTTGAAAATAAAATATCTAAAAAAATAATCAAGGCTTTGCCTGGGGGTAAGGGAGGGGGTTTGCCATGTTTCAAAAATATTTTGCTTGCCATTACTTTCAATTTGAGTTTTGTAATATCTGGAAATAAAATCACCAGAATACTTAACTGCCACATGACCCACTCAAAAAGCTATGAAAAATTCCTTTTATTGCTTAAATAAATCTAGCTTCTTAGTAAAGAAATTTAATATTCCTGGTCAAAAAGCCTCTACTTTCAAATTTGAAGGTTCTTTCTTCCCAAACTACGCTGGAAAAAATGCAGTGAATTTGATAAGTAACTAGAGAGCTTATTGAATGAAATTCACATAACACCTTGTATCAGATTTTTTGGTCACGAGCACATAACCTTTGCCAAAGAGCATTTATAAATATATCCAGATTCCCAAATTGTTGGTATGAATAAGATAGTGACAACTACAGAACTTATCACTTTAAATGAAAGAAAAGGCAGGCCTGCCAAAATGACTTAGGTGGAAGGTAAAAGCCTCCTTTGATAAGAATGTTTTCTCCTTAACACTTAAAGAACTAGATACTATATTTAGCAATTTACCTTTAAAAATTGGATATCCATTACAACTATTACATATGCCACATGCCACTGTGAGGTAGAAAGTCATCATTCTAGATTTTATATGACTGCAGTGACATTCTAGAGGTTGCAGCTTTCCAAGTATAGCCTGAATCGAAACTCAATTTTCATTCTACACAATCTTGAGTTAACATTTCACAAACATTGTTACATTCTCTAACTCAATTATAGGTACAATGTAAAAAGGAAACAGAAGATATGAAATAGGAATGAAAGCAGCTATTTAGCAGTTTAAATTATGTCTTTTTTTTTTGAGACAGAGTCTCACTCTGTCACCCAGGCTGGAGTGCAGTGGCGCAATCTCAGCTCATTGCAACCTCTGCCTCCTGGGTACAAGCAATTATCTTGGCTCAGCCTCCCAAGTAGCTGGGATTACAGGCGCCTGCCACCACCACATGCCTGGCTAATTTTTTTGTGTTTTTTTTTTTTTGTATTTTTGTAGATACAGGGTTTTACCATGTTGTCCAGGCTGGTCTTGAACCCCTGACCTCAAGTGATCCGCCCACCTCAGCCTCCCAAAGTGCTGGGATTACAGGTGTGAGCCACCATGCCTGGCCACATCTTTTGTTTTTTAAGAGACAGGGGCTCGCTATGTTACCCAGGCTGGAATGCAGTGGCTAGTCATAGGTGTGATTATGTACTACATAGCCTCGAACCCCTGAGCTCAAACAATCCTCCTGCCTCAGTCTCCTGAGTAGCTGGAACTACAGGGGTGTGTCACCATGCCTGGCTTTCAAATATATCTTAGAGAAAGAAAACATTAATAAAAGATAAGAAGTACAATAATAAAGAAGGAAATAAATAAGGCCATCTAGTAATTCTTACACTGATCAAAATCTCTCTTGCAATTTATATTCCTTTAAGGGTCCAAAATAATAAATCTGATGTAAAAAACTTGGTCATGAAAACACTAGTAATGGAAGAGACAAAAGTGAGGTATTCACCTACTTAAACCCTTAAAAGGATCATAGCTTCAGTTTCTTGCTACTCTTACTCCAGGAGTGTTAAAAGACTTACATGTATGAATCAGTCAACCTAACCAATATAGTAACACCACTTTAGGATATTAATATACAGATACTGTGACATTCAAATATCTATATTAATTCAGAATCATTGATCATTCCAACATATTATGTTCTTCTGAACTTTAAATGAAAATGGGGAAAAAAATTAAAGGACGTATAGCTTTGTTTCCCAGGTTTCTCTCTACAATGGATAATTTCATGAGCAGGTTGCCTGAAATGTAAACACCAATATAATCTCTGCAATCAACTTATTTGATAAAAAGAAGATCTGTTTCAGTCTTTTGAATTTCAGAGGTAAATTTAATGGAATGATTTAAATTATATATACTTACACACACACACACGCACGTGCACACACACCAAAAAAAGGTGGTAACTTTGTCAACTGGGAGGCTTTAGGTGTAGTGATTAAGATCACAGGCTCTGGAATACTGCTCTCTAATAGTACTCTCTGCAACGATGGAAATGTTCTGTGTTTGCACTATCCAAGACAGTAGCTACAAGCCACATGTGACTACTGAGTATCTGAAGTGTGACTAATGTGATGGAGAAACTGATTTTTTAACTTAATTTTAATGTAAATGTAAGTAGCCATATGGAGCTAGTGGCTCTTGTATTGAACAGTGAGTCTCAAGCAGATTTTAATCCTAGTTCCACCACTTATTAGCCCTTTGTCCTTGAGCAAGTTAACTTGCTGAACCCTCAGTCTTCTGGTATATAAAATGGGCTACTAAGCATCTACTTCATGGGATTATTGTGGAGATTAAATACTACACATGAAGTGCTGAGTACAGTGCCTGGTTTACCAATGACCTTTGTGTCACTAAATCTAATTGGTCAATTATCAGACCTGATCCTATCTTACTCATCAGTAACATGTGACAGAATTTAATCACTCTCTTCATCAAAATACTCTCTTCTCTTGGCTGGCTTCTGGGAGAACTCTACTGGTGTTATTTACCACTTTCTATTATTTCTAACACCTTTTCTAATAGTGTGAAAGCTGACCCTCACCTTAAAAAGAAAAAAAAAGAAAGAAAAGAGCCTGGCATGGTGGTGCACGCCTGTAGATTCAGCAACTTGGGAGGCTGAAGCGGGAGGATTGCTTGGGCTGAGGAGTTCAAGACCAGCCTGGGCAACATAGTGAGACTCTATCTCTTAAAAAAAAAACATATTTCTATACAGAGGTGTTTTACACCCTAACCAAGTTTTTCTAATAAAAAATTGAGATGTTTGACAGGACAAATTATCTGATATTGGAGTTGTCCAAGAAAATCCTAGATATATGGCTGTCATAACTTTGGAAAGACCAATAGTTATTACCTGTCCTGAATATATATATATGTATTTTTAAAAACTTAGCAGATACACAATAGCAAAGTCACGGAATCAGCCTAAGTGTCCACCAATGGATGACTGGATAAAGAAAATGTGGTATGTGCATGTTCTCACTTATAAGTGGGAGCTGAATGATGAGAACACATGAACACGTTGAAGGGAACAACACACGCTAGGGACTGTCGGGGTGAGGGTTGAGGGGAGGGAGAGCATCAGGAAGAATAGCTAATAGATGCTGGGCTTAATACTTAGGTGTTGAGGTGATCTGTACAGCAAACCACCATGGCACACGTTTACCCATGTAAATCTGCACATCTTGCACATGTGCCCCCGAACTTAAAAGCTGAAGGATAAAAAAGGAAATGTGTGTATACACACACAAACACACACACACACACACACACACACACACACACACCATGGAATACTACTCAGACATAAAAATAAATGAAATCATGTCTTTTGCCACAACATTGATGGAACTAGAGAGGCCATTATCTTAAGGAAATAACTCAGAAATACAAAGTCAAATACTACATATTCTCACTTATAAGTGGGGGCTAAACAATGTGCACACAGGGACAAACAGAATGGAATAATAGACACTAGAGACTCCAAAAGGTGGGAGGGTAGGAGGGAGATGAGGGATAAGAAATTACGTATTGTGTACAATTAACACTATTCAGGTGATGGTTACGCTAAAAACCCAGACTTCACCACTGTGCAATATATCTGTTTAAAAACAATGCACTTGTACTCCCTAAATCTATAAAAATAAAGAAATTTTTAAATTAAAAAAGTTAGCTGATGCATAAAGAACACCTCTCATTACCTAAAATGAAAAACACAGTAGCCTGAGCAATTGTGAGGATCAAATAATGTTGGAACTATAAGAAACTTTGGAAGTAAGTTAATTTGCTGCTCTTACTTTACCAGAGACTGAGGCGCAGACATTAAGTGATTTGTTAGTAATTTTTAAGTTTAAGTAAAGGTAAAGGGCCTTGTTGGATTTATTTTCTTCTCTTTCTGAATGCTAACTTTGCTCCATTTTTTTTTTTTTTTTTTGATACAGAGTCTCACTCTGTCGCCAGGCTGGAGTGCAGTGGCGCAATCGCAGCTCACTGCAACCTCCGTCTCCTGGGTTCAAGCAATTCTACTGCCTCAGCCTCCCGAGTAGCTGGGACTACAGGTGAGCACCACCAAGCCCAGCTAATTTTTCTACTTTTAGTAGAGACAGGGTTTCACCATGTTGGCCAGAATGGTCTCGATCTCTTGACCTCGTGATCCGCCTGCCTCGGCCTCCTAAAGTGCTGGGATTACAGGCATGAGCCACTGCACCTGGCCACTTTGCTCCTTAATAGTTGGGCGATCCTTTACTACAAAGGAATAATATCATCTATAGCTCAGAGCTATTGTAAGGAGTAAATGAGACAATGTATTTAAAAGTAGATAGTATAAGCACTCAATATATATATTACTCCCTTTCCCATACTGGTTTTTAAAAAAATATTAACCCCTTTTTACATGTCATTCCTAAGACATTCTTGCCAAAAATGTATGTCATAAATCTAATCAAGCCTTTACATCTAATTTCTGATTTCTAGTGTACAGGATATATAAGAGGTAGAACATATAAGAGGTAGAATAAGTTCAAACACCGCCAGGAAATAATCAAACAAATCCAGAATGGAGGGTGAGAAAATGAATACGCTAAAAAAAAAAGAGACATAACAAACAGAAACGACCACCACAGACTAACAGCAGATCTCTCTGCAGAAATCCTACAAGCCAGAAGAGAATGGGGGCCAATATTCAACATTCTTAAAGAAAAGAATATTCAACCCAGAATTTCATATCCAGCTAAACTAAGCTTTATAAGCGAAGGAGAAATAAATTCCTTTACAGACAAGCAAATGCTGAGAGATTTTGTCACCACCAGGCCTGCCTTGTAAGAGCTCCTGAAGGAAGCACTAAACATGGAAAGGAACAACCAGTATAAGACACTGCAAAAACATGCCAAATTGTAAAGACCATCAACGCTATGAAGAAACTGCATCAACTAATGGGCAAAATAACCAGCTAGAATCATAATGACAGGATCAAATTCAAACATAACAATATTAACCTTAAATGTAAATGGGCTAAATTCCCCCACTTAAAAGGCACAGACTGGCAAATTGGATAGAATCAAGACCCATTGGTGTGCTGTATTCAAGAGACCCATCTCACTTGCAAAGACACTCATAGGCTCAAAACAAAGAGATAGAGGAATATTTACCAAGCAAATGGAAAGCAAAAAAAAGCAGGAGTTGCAATGCTAATCTCGGATAAAACAGACTTTAAAACCAACAAAGATCAAAAGAGACAAAGAAGGGCATTACATAATGGTAAAAGGATCAATGCACCAAAAAGAGCTAACTATCCTAAATATATATGCACCCAATACAAGAGCACCCAGATTCATAAAGCAAGTTCTTAGAGGCCTACAAAGAGACTCAGACTCCCACACAATAATAGTGGGAGACTTTAACACCCCACTGTCAATATGAGACAGATCAATGAGAGAAAATTAACAAGGATATTCAGGACTTGAACTCAGCTCTGGACCAAATGGACCTAAAAGATATCTACAGAACTCTCCACCCTAAATCAACAGAACAATGCATTCTTCTCAGCAACTCCTTGCACTTATTCTAAAATTGACCACATAATTGGAAGTAAAACACTCCTCAGCAAATGCAAAAGAATGGAAATCATAACAAACAGTCTCTCAGAACACAGCGCAATCAAATCAGAACTCGAGATTAAGAAACTCACTCAAAACTGCACAACTACATGGAAACTGAACAACCTCCTCCTGAATGACTACTGGGTAAATAACAAAATTAAGGCAGAAATAAAGAAGTTCTTTGAAACCAATGAGAACAAAGATACAACGTATCAAAATCTCTGGGACACATTTAAAGCAGCCTGTAGAGGGAAATTTATAGCACTAAATGCCCACAAGAGACAGCAGGAAAGATCTAAAATCAACACTCTAACATCACAATTAAAAGAACTAGAGAAGCAAGAGCAACATATTCAAAAGCTAGCAGAAGACAAGAAATAACTAAGATCAGAGAAGAGCTGAAGGAGATAGAGACATAAAAAAACCTTCAAAAAAAATCAATGAATCCAGGAGCTGGTTGTTTGAAAAGATCAACAAAATAGATAGACCGCTAGCCAGACTGATAAAGAAGAAAGGAGAGAAGAATCAAATAGACGCAATAAAAAATGATAAAGGGGATATCACCACTGATCCCACAGAAATACAAACTAACATCAGAGAATACTAAAAACACCTTGGTGCAAATAAACTAGAAAATCTAGAAGAAATGGATGAATTCCTGGACACATGCACCCTCCCAAGTCTAAACCGGGAAGAAGTCGAATCTGTGAATAGACTAATAACAAGTTCTGAAACTGAGGCAGTAATTAATAGCCCACAAACAAAAGGAAGTCCAGGACCAGATGGATTCACAGCTGAATTCTACCAGAGGTACAAAGAGGAGCTGATACCATTCCTTCTGAAACTATTCCAATCAATAGAAAAAGAGGGAATCCTCCCTAACTCATTTTATGAGGCCAGCATCCTCCTGAATACCAAAACCTGGCAGAGACACAACAAAATAAAGAAAATTTCAGGCCAATATCCCTGATGAACATCCATGAAATCCTCAATAAAATACTGGCAAACCGAATCCAGCAGCACATCAAAAAGCTTATCCACCACAATCAAGTCGGCTTCATCCCTGCAATACATGGCTAGTTCAACATACTCAAATGAATAAATGTAATCTAGCATATAAACAGAACCAATGACAAAAACCATATGATTATCTCAATAGATGCAGAAAAGACCTTCGACAAAAGTCAACAACCCTTCATGATAAAAATTCTCAATAAATTAGGTACTGATGGAACGTATCTCAAAATAATAAGAGCTATTTATGACAAACCCACAGCCAATATCATACTGAATGGGCAAAAACTGAATGCATTCCCTTTGAAAACCAGCACAAGACAAGGATGCCCTCTCTCATCACTCCTATTCAACATAGTATTGGAAGTTCTGGCCAAGGCAATCAGGCAAGAGAAAGAAATAAAGGGTATTCAAATAGGAAAAGAGAAAGTCAAATTGTCTGTTTGCAGACAACATGATTGTATATTTAGAAAACCCCATCGCCTCAGCCCAAAATCTCCTTAAGCTGATAAGCAACTTCAGCAAAGTCCCAGAATACAAAATCAATGTGCAAAAATCACAAGCATTTCTATACACCAATAACAGACAAACATAGAGCCAAATCATGAGTGAAGTCCCATTCACAATTACTACTAAGAGAATAAAATACCTAGGAATACAACTTACAAGGGATGTGAAAGACCTCTTCAAGGAGAACTACAAACCACTGTTCAAGGAAATAAAGAGAGGACACAAACAAATGGAAAAACATTCCATGCTGAAAGATAGGAAGAATCAATATCGTGAAAATGGCCATACTGACCAAAGTAATTTATAGATTCAATGCTGTCCCCATCAAGCTACCACTGACTTTATTCACAGAATTGGAAAAAACTACTCTAAACTTCAAATGGAACCAGAAAAGAGCCTGCAAAGCCAAGACAATTCTAAGCAAAAAGAACAAAGCTGGAGGCATCATGCTACCTGACTTCAAACTATACCACAATGCTCCAGTAACCAAAACAGCATGGTACTGGTACCAAAACAGATATATAGACCAATGGAACAAAACAGAGGCCTCAGAAATAACACCACACATCTACAACCATCTGATCTTTGACAAACCTGACACAAAGAAGCAATGGGGAAAGGACTCCCTATTTAATAAATGGTGTTGGGAAAACTGGTTGGCCATATGCAGAAAACTGAAACTGGACCCCTTCCTTACACCTTATACAAAAATTAAGTCAATATGGATTAAAGACTTAAACATAAGACCTAAAACCATAAAAATCCTAGAAGAAAACCTAGGCAATACCATTCAGGACATGGGCAAAGACTTCATGTCTAAAAAACCAAAAGCAATGGCAACAAAAGCCAAAATTGATAAATGGGATGTAATTAAACTAAAGAGCTTCTGCACAGCAAAAGAAACTACCATCAGAGTGAACAGGCAACCTACAGAACAGGAGAAAATTTTTGCAATCTACTCATCTGACAAAGGGCTAATATCCGGAATCTACAAAGAATTTAAACAAATTTACAAGAAAAAAACAACCCTATCAAAAAGTGGGCAAAGTATATGAACAGACACTTCTCAGAAGAAGACATATATGCAGCCAACAGACATGAAAAAATACTCATCATTACTGCTCATTAGAGAAATGCAAATCAAAACCACAATGAAATACCATCTCATGCCAGTTAGAATGGCGATCTTTAAAAAGTCAGGAAACAACAGGTGCTGGAGAGGATGTGGAGAAATAGGAATGCTTTTACACTGTTGGTGGGAGTGTAAATTAGTTCAACCATTATGGAAGACAATGTGGCGATTCCTCAAGGATCTAGAACCAGAAATACCATTTTGACTCAGCGATCCCATTACTGGGTATATACCCAAAGGATTATAAATCATTCTACTATAAAGATACATGCACACATATGTTTATTGCGGCACTATTCACAATAGCGAAGACTTGGAACCAACTCAAATGCCCATCAATGACAGACTGAATAAAGAAAACGTGGCATATATACACCATGGAATACTATGCGGCCATAAAAAAGAACGAGTTCATGTCCTTTGCAGGGACATGGATGAAACTGGAAACCATCATTCTCTGCAAACTGACACAAGAACAGAAAATCAAACACCACATGTTCTCGCTCATAAGCGGGAGGTGAACAATGAGAACACATGGACACAAGGAGGGGAATATCACACACTGGGGCCTGTTGAGGGGTGGGGATCTAGGGGAGGGATAGCATTAGGAGAAATATCTAATGTAGGTGACGGGTTGATGGGTATAGCAAACCACTATGGCATGTGTATAACTATGTAACAAAACTGTACTTTCTGCACATGTACCCCAGAACTTAGAATATTAAATATATATATATATATATTGGACACAAGCAGGGTAATCAAAATATGGATGTGTTATGAGATGGTGTTAGGGAATTAGGAAGTTATTCATTTTATGGTATTGTAATTATATAAGAAATGTCTTACTATTTCAAAGATGTATTATATACTGAAGTATTTACAAGTGAAATGCCATATACTTGTAATTTAAAAGATTTCAGAAAAATAGATGAGGCAAATGTGGCAAAACAATAATTGGTAAATCTAGCGGATGGGTATATGAATATATTTTTCTGGTTTGAATATGTTCACAATGGGAATTTTTGAAAATTAATTAACAATTTTTTTCATATTTTCCTTGCAACAAGAGAGACAGAAAACATTAGAATATATGGCAGAATCCTGGGACAGCTCAAACTCTAAAAGAGAGGGTCAGTACCCTTCCCCCTTCTGATTAGCTCTATAATCTAGCTTTTCTTTTTCTTTTTTTTTATTATTATACTTTAAGTTTTAGCGTACATGTGCACATTGTGCAGGTTAGTTACATATGTATACGTGTGCCATGCTGGTGCGCTGCACCCACTAACTCGTCATCTAGCATTAGGTATATCTCCCAATGCTATCCCTCCCCCCTCCCTCCACCCCACAACAGTCCCCAGAGTGTGATATTCCCCTTCCTGTGTCCATGTGATCTCATTGTTCAATTTCCACCTATGAGTGAGAATATGCGGTGTCTGGTTTTTTGTTCTTGCGATAGTTTACTGAGAATGATGATTTCCAATTTCACCCATGTCCCTACAAAGGACATGAACTCATCATTTTTTATGGCTGCATAGTATTCCATGGTGTATATGTGCCACATTTTCTTAATCCAGTCCATCATTGTTGGACATTTGGGTTGGTTCCAAGTCTTTGCTATCGTGAATAAACCTACTCATCTGACAAAGGGCTAATATCCAGAATCTACAATGAACTCAAACAAATTTACAAGAAAAAAACAAACAACCCCATCAAAAAGTGGGCAAAGGACATGAACAGACACTTCTCAAAAGAAGACATTTATGCAGCCAAAAAACACATGAAAAAATGCTCATCATCACTGGCCATCAGAGAAATGCAAATCAAAACCATAATCTAGCTTTTCAAAAGAGTATATTCGAAAGTTGGGATCTGGAAACTTAGCCATCTGTAGATTTGTTTAAAGCTAAACTGAATGCATGGCTGCATACCAGCACTGTTCTAAGAACTTCATTTAATTTTTCATAATAACTCTATGAAGCACATATAATCATCATCCCCATATTATGGACGAAACTACTCCCATGGCAAACCAGCATGAGCTGCTAGCTCCTGCCCTCAAAACCAACTCTGCAGAAACTATAGAAGGGAAAAGGCAATATGAATTCCAGAAACTTATAGACAATGTGTGCATATGTGCATGTACACACACACAGACATCCCTGGGGTAACAACTGGCATCATATTTTATCTAAAACATAGTTACTGAAACAGATGAAATAAAGGAAGATATTACCAATATGGAATTCAAACAAATTTAAGAGTCTAAATGAAATATTAGGAAAAAAAAATAACAGTTGAAAAAATAACTCAGTATAAACAGCAAGCGGGGTACAGTTGAATATCTTAGTGAATTAGGAGATAAGACTGAGATACTCTTCCAGAAGATAGTAAGAAAGAATAAAGAAATAGGAATGCAAAAGAAAAGCTAAAAGATATGGAGGCTAGAAGAGCAGGCATTCAGATAGTAACAGTCTCAGAAAGAGACAAAAATAAAAATGCAAAGGATGATATTTTTGAAGAACTAATGGACATACATTTCTCAGAAGTATAATGAAAAAACTGAGGCATAGAAGTCAGATATTTTGACTAAGATAAAGATTCAAACCCTGGTCTTGCCCCAGGACCCCTGTCCTTAACCACTCTGCTACACTGACTTAGGGCTAAGGATCAGTAAGTTCAGCACCAAAGACAATCAAGGAGGACTAGGATCAGCTCTGACACTGTAAGATTGTGTAGTAACTAGATGAAATCCATACCCTCCCCAATATTATACACCTTGATAACACTGTGCCTTTCCATAAACCCACAGTATTGATTAAAACGGTGTAAAGTCATATCAAACCTCAATTTACTTCTCCGCAAGCTTAATCATATAGAATATTAATGTCAGGATAGTATAGTGTAATGGTTAAAGAGTGTGGAGTCTGGAGTCACAGCACTGAGTTCAAGCCCCGGTGCCACCACTTTCCATGCCATAATTTCATCAGAAAATAGAAAAAATTGTACCTGCTTTGTAAGGATTAAATAAGGTAATGCTAGTAAAATCCTTAGCACAGTTCCTGGCATAAACATTGCTCAATAAAGCTTAGATACTGTTTGTTTTTTTAATTCAAAGGTTTAGCTGATAACTATTGTAAAGGCAAATTATACTACTACATACCTTGTACACACAAGAGTGGTAGACCTTGTCAAAAATAGATTCCCAAGGCCTACCTCCAGAAATTCTGATTCAGTAGGTCTTAGATGAAGCCAGGAATCTGCATTTTTTTTTTTTTGAGACAGGGTCTCACTCTGTCACCCAGGCTGGAGTGTAGTGGTACAAACTTGCTCACTGCAGCCTCGACCTCCTAGGTTCAAGGGATCCTCCCAACTCAGTCTCCAAAACAGCTGAGACTACAGGTGCATGCCACCAAGCCTGGCTAATTTTTTGTAGAGACAGAGTCTTGCCACGTTGACCAGGCTGATCCTGAACTCCTGGATTCAAGCAATCCTCCCACCTTGGCCTCCCAAAGTGCTGAGATTAGAGGTGTGTGCCACTGTGTCCGACTAGGAATCTGCATTTTTAATCAAGCCACCAGGTGATTCTCCAAGAAGTACACACAAGGAAAAACACTATTTCAAAGGCATGTCAACTATTGCCTCACAACATTTAGCTTGCAATTTTAGCACAAAAATTCATTTGTTCACATAGCACATTTTTATTGAATACTTGCTATGTGCTATATTATGTATTATGCCAGGTATTGGGGATAGAGTGATGAAGATGCATTAATATAGTTCTTGCCTTCCTAGGCTAATAGGAAGTTCATATTCTAGAGAGAATAGATATTTTAATTTGCCTATAAAGTAAAAAAGCTTACCATTTAATTCATTTATTAAATGAGCATTTATTAAATGCAAACCTGGTATTTTAAATTTCAGGATTTCTATGACCTTAAGCAGCAAATATTTCTAGTACTTCCAACTCTCCATAAGGAGACACTTTTTAAAGTCTATCCTAAACTCTCCCCAATAGAATCTTGCATACCATCCCCAACTCTGCCCTCCACCCCAACACTGCCAGCAAGGCTGCCTTATCTACATTGATGTTTCCATGGACAATTATTTATAAGACAGCTTGCCAGCGTTAGGGAGGCTGCCATCTCAGGGTATCATTGGCTCCATGGTTTCTGTAACCCAAATGTTTTCCCTAAAAGACTTGGTAAATGGCTCCTTAATAGTTTTTCTTGTGTCATAAGGTGGTACAATAAAAAATAAGACAAAACAGCACTATAAATAAAGTATGGTCAGTCTGTTAACAAGTATTTATTGTGTAGTTTGTGGAGGGAAAATAGAAGCATCTCTTTACTTTGGAAAATTACTACAGAAGCATCAGCTGGCTATAAGGTAGACTTTATTCTAAAGTTGCTTATATTATTTAAGAAAAAAAACCCCTTTCAATGTTCTTTGTCAACTGCATGCTAACTTTATTGAAAGTGAAGATCAATATCTAATATATTCCTTCCTGATTACAACTGATCTCTGGGGGAATGCAAGCCTCAAATACCTATGTCTTCTGCAGCTTAGCTGAGATGATCTCCTCTGGCTCCTAAATGTTTTTAGTTTTCTACTGGTCTGTCATATATCAAGCTTAATTTTCTACTCAGGATCAGGACCTCACATGACTCCTCTGAAATTCCAAAAATGTAAGTCCATAAGTATTTCAGAGAAATGAACCTACTATAATGGTAATATTAATAACAATTATGGAAACAAAAACAGCAGCTAACATTTGAACACTTACTATGTGCTAGGTAGTATGTTTACATGAATTACCTCCTTTGTGAGAGAAGTACTGGCACTATTCTTATTTTCTTCAGAAAAATGAGGCTTAGAAAGCTTACATGGTTTGCCTAAGATTACATCTGAAAAGGGTGGTTGGCAAGTTATTTAGGAGAGGGCTTAAACAAGCTGCTCTTTTTACTTGGCATCAATCACCCCAACAAAAAACGAATAGGACACTTTTGTAATCTGCAAAGAAATGGTAGAATTCAAACAATTTTTCTGATGCCCGTTATTTTTTCTGGTGGTCTATTCATATACAGATGAATAACAATCATTTTATACTAGTAAATACAAAGATAGGAATAATATTCAAACTTGTTTTATTAAACAAAAAAATCCAAAACCTGTGATTAAAAAAAAGGCAAAGAAGTAGGAGACAATGACATCAAACCTTATATATGCTTCAATTATGAGCATGGCTTCCTAGAAGAATATGACAACAAATATTAGGTTCACATACCACCATGTGGTTCATACCCCATAGGCTACTAACACTTGCTCTACAATTAAATGTGTTATTTTGAACCTTTATTCTCAAAAGTAAATGTAGGCAGGTTACCAGAAAGTTCCTGAAATAAGTGGATTAGCTATTTCATACTTTACATCAAATTATTTTAATGGAATGTATTTCACACTGGTATTAAGAATGACTAAGGTGAAACCTTATATTACCATCTGCCGGCTAATAAAACTGTACAATAACATCTCTGTTCAGTAAATTATGCTTTGAAGTATTAAAGTTTGAATACAGGACTAAAGAAAGGGGAGAACACTGCACACAAATTCAGCGTAGAGAAAACAAACCTAAAGCCTCACTTAAGATACTTTAATTTAAATCCCCATTTTGTTCTCCCTGTAATCATCAAGTAGTTCACATTTAAAAAGACATACGTAGTCCAGTGCTGGAAAAGGGAAGTATAAAAACATTTCTATGCCAGTTTTATTGGCTTTTGTTTTCTTAATAAAAGGTACAGAGTAGGCTGTGTATACTGTACTTAAGAGGAACAAAACACCCACTTAAGCATATTATAAAATATAACCTTGGCTGCAGGTGGTGACTCATGCCTGTAATCCCAGCACTTTAGGAGACCGAGGTGGGTCGATCACTTGAGGCCAGGAGTTCGAGACCAGCCTGGCCAACATGGAGAAAGCCCATCTCTATGAAAAATACAAAAATTAGCCAGGCGTGGTGGCGCATGCCTGTAATCCCAGCTACTCAGGTGGCTGAGGCACGAGAATCACTTGAACCCCAGAGGCGGAGGTTGCAGTGAACTGAGATTGCAGCACTGCACTCCATCCTGGGTGACAGAGTGAGACTGTCTCAAAATAAAATAAAACATGACCTTGACCAAAATTTTCATCTCTGATATCTGTATAATTAATAAGTTTATTACCAGAAAAGGTACTTTCTCTAACATAATTTACATAAATGTTAACAGGTTAGCTATCAATTTAACATTTACATAAACGTTAACAGAGGTTAGCTATTAATTTAACATTTTAAACACAAGCCATTAAGAATAAGTTAACAAATCGGTATTGCTAGAAACTTGTGTTAAACTACTTATAAGTCTAGATCATGCTACAGTTTCAAAATGGCTGAGAAACATTATCCTGAACAACTAAAAAGATGCACAGATACTTGGTAGAGATGATTCAGGAGGCCCTTAAATCAACTTATTAAAAAATAGGTTCACAGGACGTCAAGGCTATTATATTTCCAAAAGGGAAAAGCAGCAACAGTAAGAATCCAATGAGGGGATTTAAAATAATAAAGTGGACAGGCATAGTGGCTCATGCCTGTAATCCTAACACTTTGGGAGGCCAAGGCAGGAGGATCACATGATGCCAGGAGTTCAGGACCAGCCTAGGCAATAGAACGAGACCTTGTCTCAAAAATGAAATGAAATGAAATGAAATGAAATGAAATAAAATAAAATAAAAATAATAAAGTAATGAGTAGAGTGGTGAATGAAGCTAAGATAGCAAATTAAGAATCTAACTGAAGATATAAATTAAAGCTCGAATTCTCTTCCTTCCACAAACCCACTGTGACAGACTAACCAATCTTCATCTCAATTTTACTGCTTGAAAAGTAAGTCTAATTCCAACACTGCTTTTCAATGATATATGGATCACTAAGGAACACTATAAAGACAACTAGAATTTCAAAAAAGTCTAGATAAAAGTGCCAAGCAATTATCCACCATGATCAAGTGGGCTTCATCCCTGGGATGCAAGGCTGGTTCAACATATGCAAATCAATAAACGTAATCCAGCATATAAACAGAAGCAAAGACAAAAACCACATGATTATCTCAATAGATGCAGAAAAGGCCTTTGACAAAATTCAACAACCTTCATGCTAAAAACTCTCAATAAATTAGGTATTGATGGGACGTATCTCAAAATAATAAGAGCTATTTATGACATACCCACAGCCAATATCATACTGAATGGGCAAAAACTGGAAGTATTCCCTTTGAAAACTGGCACAAGACAGGGATGCCCTCTCTCACCACTCCTATTCAACATAGTGTTGGAAGTTCTGGCCAGGGCAATCAGGCAGGAGAAAGAAATAAAGGGTATTCAATTAGGAAAAGAGGAAGTCAAATTGTCCCTGTTTGCAGATGACATGACTGTATATCTAGAAAACCCCATTGTCTCAGCCCAAAATCTCCTTAAGCTGATAAACAACTTCAGCAAAGTCCAGGATACAAAATCAATGTGCAAAAATCACAAGCATTCCTATACACTAATAAGAGACAAACAGAGAGCCAAATCATGAGTGAACTCCCATTCTCAGTTGCTTCAAAGAGAATAAAATACCTAGGAATCCAACTTACAAGGGATGTGAAGGACCTCTTCAAGGAGAACTACAAACCACTGCTCAATGAAATAAAAGAGGACACAAACAAATGGAAGAACATTCCATGCTCATGGATAGGAAGAATCAATATCATGAAAATGGCCACACTGCCCAAGGTAATTTAAAGATTCAATGCCATCCCCATCAAGCTACCAATGACTTTCTTCACAGAATTGGAAAAAACTACTTTAAAGTTCATATGGAACCAAAAAAGACCCCGCATTGCCAAGTCAATCCTAAGCCAAAAGAACAAAGCGGGAGGCATCACGCTACCTGACTTCAAACTATACTACAAGGCTATAGTAACCAAAACAGCATGGTACTGGTACCAAAACAGAGATATAGACCAATGGAACAGAATAGAGCCCTCGGAAACAATATCACACATCTACAACCATCTGATCTTTGACAAACCTGACAAAAACAAGAAATGGGGAAAGGATTCCCTGTTTAATAAATGGTGTGCTGGGAAAACTGGCTAGCCATATGTAGAAAGCTGGAACTGGATCCCTTCCTTACGCCTTATACAAAAATTAATTCAAGATGGATTAAAGACTTAAATGGTAGACCTAAAACCATAAAATCCCTAGAAGAAAACCTAGGCAATACCATTCAGGAAATAGGCATGGGCAAGGACTTCATGTCTAAGACACCAAAAGCAATGGCAACAAAAGCCAAAATTGACAAATGGGATCTAATTAAACTAAAGAGCCTCCGCACAGCAAAAGAAACTACCATCAGAGTGAATGGGCAACCTATAGAATGGGAGAAAATTTTTGCAATCTACCCATCTGACAAAGGGCTAATAACCAGAATCTACAATGAACTCAAACATATTTACAAGAAAACAAACAAACAACCCCGTCAACAAGTGAGTGAAGGGTATGAACAGACACTTCTCAAAAGAAGACATTTATGCAGCCAACAGACACATGAAAAAATGCTCATCATCACTGGTCATCAGACAAATGCAAATCAAAACCACAATGAGATACCATCTCATACCAGTTGGAATGGCAATCATCAAAAAGTCAGGAAACAACAGGTGCTGGAGAGGATGTGGAGAAATAGGAACACTTTTACACTGTTGGTGGGACTGTAAACTAGTTCAACCATTGTGGAAGACAGTGTGGCGATTCCTCAAGGATCCAGAACTAGAAATACCATTTGACCCAGCAATCCCATTACTGGGTATATACCCAAAGGATTATAAATCATGCTGCTAGAAAAACACATGCGCATGTATGTTTACTATTCACAATAGCAAAGACTTGGAACCAACCCAAATGCCCACCAATGATAGACTGGATTAAGAAAATGTGGCACATATACACCATGGAATACTATGCAGCCATAAAAAATGATGAGTTCCTGTCCTTTGTAGGGACATGGATGAAGCTGGAAACCATCATTCTCAGCAAACTATTGCAAGGATAGAAAACCAAACACCCCATGTTCTCACTCATAGGTGGGAATTGAACAATGAGAACACTTGGACACAGGAAGGAGAACATCACATACCAGGGCCTGTCATGGGGTGGGGGGAGGGGGGAGGGATAGCATTAGGAGATATACCTAACCTAGACGACGAGTTAATGGGTGCAGCACACCAACATGGCACACGTATACATATGTAACAAACCTGCACGTTGTGTACATGTACCCCAGAACTTAAAGTATAATAATAATAAAAAAGTGCCAAGCATTGCATTATTCACTAAGGATACTGAAGGAAGCACAGAATGCAGTTCTTGCCTTTAAAGAGGTACAAAGACAAGAAAAATAGTCAGGTGGCTAATTAAGTCTGAGGTATTAAATCAAATTAGAAGTAGAGAAGTAAAAACTGAACAAGAAGAGAAATGGAGGAACAGGAATTAAGTAATAATGACCTAAGGAGGAAGTGATGAAGCAGAAAGAGATACAGTAATCACATATCAAGTAAGTTAAAAAGAAGTGCTTTCGGGACTACCAAAAGACAAAAAAACCTCATAAAAGCATGGAATTTAATTATTACTTAGATAACAGCAATTGAAAGGATGAAAATGTATCATTTTTAGCAGTCTTTCATCTTAAAAATCATGGACAAGAAGGAAGGTGTTTGCAATTGTACTATAATAACAGGAACCAACTTCAAAATACCTTGAATAAAAGCAGCTTCAAATACCAAAAAATCCATCACCATGAATATCCAAACGTACCAAGAAATCCCTCGCCATGAATATCAAAACGTACCCATTTCAGATGACCAGTTTTCAAATTCTATTAAACTAGTGGAAATCTTACATGAAATTCTAATTATAAATCAAGGGAACATTAATAATTACTGAGTATCTATATTATGCCCAGTACTTCTCTGTCTCCACTGCTAACATCTCATATCAGGCCTGTATTACCTCTCCCACCTGAATCATTTTAGTAGCATCCTAACAAGTATCTTAATATCCATTTTCTTTTCTCTGATCCATCCTCCACACTGATACATAAAATGATTTTTTTCTAAAATGAAAATGTGACGGTAGTCTCTTGCTTAAAATTGTTAAATAGATACCACAACCTATAACACAACTTACAAACTAATTTCTATGATTTGATTCCCACCTACCTTTCCAGTCTTTACTTTTACCTCTTCCCACACTCACCCTTACTCTACCAGTATCTCCTTATACTCTTATTTATTTTTAACTACTTGAGGTTCTTCAAACTTATCATGCCATGTTATGCATGTGCTTCTTTTTTTCTATTCCCCATCTTGAAAGGCCTTTTGCTCTTCTGCCGTCTTAGCAATGCAAACAGTTACCCAGTTCTACTTTCAACATCTGTTCAAGCACATCAATATCCATCCCAAACTTTCCAAGAAAGAAATGAATATTCCTTCCTTGGCACCTGCACAGATTTCTATTATAGGATCTGTAACTCTTACTATATTACTTGCTTAAGGTAAGCTTTTAAGACTATAGCTTCTTGGGAACAGAATCCTAGACTTATTTATGAGTGTATCCTTAGAGACCAGTACAATTGGCATATCATAGGCACCCCAAAAAGTTTAAATCAATGAATGAATAACTAAGCTTCATTATTTAAGATAAAATTTTTTGGCTGGGCAAGGTAGCTCATACCTGCAATCCCAGCATTTTGGGAGGCCAAGGCAGGTGAATCATCTGAGGTCGGGAGTTTGAGACCAGCCTGGCCAACATGGTGAAACCCCATCTCTACTAAAAATATAAAAATTAGCTGGGTGTGGTGGCACATGTCTATAACCTCAGCTACTCGGGAAGCCGAGGCACAAGAATCATTTGAACCCAGGAGGCGGAGGCTGCAGTGAGCCGAGATCATGCCGCTGCACTCCAGCCTGGGCAACAGAGTGAGACTCTGTCTCAAAGAAAAAAAAAACATTTTCGCTGCCTATCCCTTTAAAAGCTAGTCTATTATCAGTTGAGTTCTACCATTTATTTTCATGAAATGTCTGATCGAGCCCACAATAATCACTCCAGGCTAATTTTCTAAAAGCCCAGATTCATCATACAACAGTCCCATTCAAGAACTTATAGTAAACATTATTTTAAAGCGCAATGCCTCCATTTGCCTTTCATGGCTTTCCTACTTATCTAACCTCCACTCTTCATCAATGCCAGGCCAATTTCATCATCCCTTAAGCCTGGTACATAAATTCTTACCTCTGTCCCTTTGCCCAAACTGTTCAATCTCTCATTCACACTTGATTCTTCCCTTTATCCAATTAAATACTAACCATCTTTTATAGGCCAACCAAGTCTGATTTTTCTCCCATCAAAATTGTATCTGAATGCTCCATCCTTCCCCTATTATAAGCAAAGATACTCAGCACCAGTCACATCAGCACTTCATTCTTTCCCTTTTAAGAATGTTACTTTTTTCTCCCCAACCGGATTATCAGCTCCTTCAGGTATCTGATTGTACTTCCTGGATAGATCTCTCACAGTTTTTAGTTACTGTGATAGAAAGGCAACATGGCATTGTGTTTTAAAAACTTTTTTTTAAAAAGCAGGCACGTCCTCTCTTTGAATTAAATCTTATGTTGAAGTCCAATACATTAAAAAGATAAAAGAGGGGCTCTGACTGAAATGGGATGTCGGGATCAGAGTGTTCATTGCCTGGCCCCTCTGTACTTGCTTAGCCACATGGTAGCAGTCCCTAAAGCATCTCCTGGGGTTCCTTGTAACACAGTTTGAAAACGACTGGGTTCACAATGAGATGCCATCTCACACCAGTTAGAATAATGATCATTAAATAAGTCAGGAAACAACAGATGCTGGTGAGGATGTGGAGAAATAGGAACGCTTTTACACTGTTGGTGGGAGTGTTAGTTCAACCATTATGGAAGACAGTGTGGCGATTCCTCAAGGATCTAGAACCAGAAATACCATTTGACTCAGCAATCTCATTACTGGGTATATACCCAAAGGATTATAAATCATTCTACTATAAAGACACATGCACACGTATGTTTATCACAGCACTATTTACAATAGCAAAGACCTGGAACCAACCCAAATGCCCATCAATGACAGACTGGATAAAGAAAATGTGGCACATACACACCAAGGAATACTATGCAGCCATAAAAAGAATGAGTTCAAGTCCTTTGCAGGGACATGGATGAAGCTGGAAACCATCATCCTCAGCAAACTAACACAAGAACAGAAAACCAAACACTGCATGTTCTCACTCATAAGTGGCAGTTGAACAATGAGAACATATGGACATGGGGAGGGTTACATCACCCACTGGGGCCTGTCAGGGGGTGGGGGGAAAGGGGAGGGAGAACATTAGGACAAATACCTAATGTATGCAGGGCTTAAAACCTAGATGACGGGTTGATAGGTGCAGCAAACCACCATGGCACATGTATACCTATGTAACAAACTGCATGTTCAGCACACGTATAACAGAACTTAAAGTAAAAAAGAAAAAAGAACAAAAAAAAGGACCAGGCGCGGTGGCTCACACCTGTAATCCCAGCACTTTGGGAGGCTGAGGTGGGTGGATCACAAGGTCAGGAGTTCAAGACCAACCTGGCCAACATAGTAAAACCCCATCTCTACTAAAAATAGAAAAAAAAATTGCTGGGCGTGGTGGCAGGCGCCTATAGTCCTAGCTACTTGGGAGGCTGAGGCAGGAGAATCGCTTGAACCCAGGAGGTGGAGGTTGCAGTGAGCTGAGATTGCGCCACTGCACTCCAGCCTGGGCGACACAGTGAGACTGTCTCAAAAAGAGGTAGAAGGAGAGGGAGAGGGAGAGGGGGAAAGGGAGAGAGGGAGAGAGGGAGAGAGGGAGAGAGGGAGAGAGGGAGAGAGGGAGAGAGGGAGAGAGGGAGAGGGAGAGAGGGGAAGAGGGAGAGAGGGGAAGAGGGAGAGGGAGAGAGGGGAAGAGGGAGAGGGAGAGAGGGGAAGAGGGAGAGGGAGAGAGGGGAAGAGGGAGAGGGAGAGAGGGGAGGAGGGAGGTGGGGGTGGGGGAGAGAGGGGGAGGGGAGAAGAGAGAAAGAAAACTACTGGGTTCAAATTCTAGCTGTAACACTTACTGGTCATGTACCCTTGTGTAATCACAAACTCTAAATCTCAGCTTCCTGAGATAATGTATATGAGACAGGCCTTTGTAAACCTTAAAGTTTTCCATAAATTTGAGGAGTATTTAACCTTCACAAGACATAAGCTAAACTGACTATATTATACCATCTTAACAGTTATATCACACAATATTACTGACTGTGAAAGCATTCTATATTTTAAAGTCCAGATTTATTTAAACTAAAATAAAGCATCCTAAATGTCATTCAATTCTGGAAATCCCAGGTCCTCTGCTTTGCTTCTTGTATTTGAAAATAACTTTCTAATCTCCATTTGGAGGACAAAAAATTATAATGATTAAGAGTAATGCTTTTGAGTTGGTCAGATATGATTTGAAGACCAGCTTTACAATATGGTGTGTAAACTTGGGTAAGTTACCTAGCCTCTCTGAACCTCAGTTTCCTCATCTTGAAAATGAAAACAGGACTATCTGCTTTTCAGCTGCTGGATTGAGGGAGATAATCTGAACAATGTCTTGTTTTTCTTAGTATTCTCTCACAGTATACCTCTCAAAGTCAGCAAATAATACACGTTTATAAAATTAACTGGTTTCCTGCAACCCGAAATTCACCATATGAATAAATTCGAAGTAATTTCCCCTTTTCTAATTGGAAAATTTGTCTGCTACTTCTTATAAAAGTTGAAGTGTAAAGTATATTAGAAAATATGCTAATTAGATATATTATATGTGGCATAAAATATGTGTTTCAGAATATACTATCTTTTTGTGGTGCTATATGGAGAACAGATCAAGCACCCTATCATTTATAATTTTCTAGACAAAATTCATTAAATATCATTTTATTATCCTTGAAAAATTCTGAAATATAGCCTTAATCAGATGACTAAATTTGATATCAGTAGTAAAATTTCCTTAGTCCACGTTGGTTTGTTAAGCCAATAATCTAAATATGTTTACCTTTGGCAGCATGGGAGTATCCCTCTTCTTCTTCTTTTCTGAATTAGGGTCATCTAATAAGTCTGGCTCAAAAGTATAAAGTTCAGTAAGCTCATTCATAGTAAAATGACGCTCCACCTGCTGCTGATCAACAACTCGAAAAGACAGTGACTGCTTAGTTACTTGCCGATCATAAATCTTATCTTCCATGGTTCCCTTTGTAAAAAGAAGGAAGAATATACAAAAAAATAAAATTTTGTAAGCATGAAACTTAATCAAGGATAAATACGGTTACTGGTTAATATGAAATGGTAAAACTTTATGGTAGTATATTGCCATAAAGAAAAACTCATCAGCAATTTTGCTTAATTCATGAAAGATTTCATCTGTTTAGCATAGTTTACCATAATAAATAAAATTACATTACTGATAATTATTCTATATTAACTGACCAAAATGCATTCAAGTGTTGCTTTATTTATTTCTGTACTCTGTAGGAGGAGGACAGCAGGCAGATACCAGAGTAAACAGAAATAAAGGGACAGACACAAAAAACATTTAGGTAAATATTGAAGTTAGAATGCAAGAGAGCAGTTTGATTCCTTTTCAATGTAATATAATAAGCTATCAACAAACACCATAAAATGCCTTTATATCGTTTTATTTTCTATAATTTCAAGACAGAAAACAAATATAAAATACCATATCCATTACATATAAACTACATTAATTAAATGTATACATTATATTAAATGTATATTAAATATAATACAAATTATAAATGAGAATGTACAGAAGTTTTAAACTTAACAGGAAAGAAAAAAATAAAAGAAAATTGAATAAATAAACAAATAACAGGAAAGAGTTTACATAAAGTTGTCAATCAACTTATGTACTAAAGAAGATCAAATAAGCAAGGATCTACCAAAAAAAACCCAGTTTCTGGTTAAGAAGCCCAGATTTGGAGGCAGGCTGAGAGGGGTTGCATCTGCTGGGGGTAGCATCTGCTAAATGTGTTCATGCAAAACAATCTCAACCTGAGAAAGATGACATCACAGAAATGGATACACTACAAAACAGAAAATCAAGAAAAGCCAAAACTGACTTCTGCTGCTTTATGTACAGAAATGGTATTTCCAACTTTGTTTCCCTCTCTGTAATACACATATGTTCCATATCTCTAAAATATTATCAGTTTCACATAAACTTTCAATATGAAAAAGAGAATTATAAACCTACCTGAGCTAAGAACCTATATACATAAACAGGCTTAGTTTGTCCAAAGCGATAAACTCTGAATATACTCTGGATGTCATAAGATGGATTCCAAGAAGCGTCGAATATAATTACTCGATTAGCAGCTACCAGATTAATTCCTAGAGATCCTGCTTTAGTAGAAATGATAAATAATCGTCCTCTGAAAATGAAAATATAGAATAAATGCTTCAGTAATTAGTACTTTACAAATATTTTAATTACAATATGACTTTTTGATACTTAGTTTTTTTTTAACTATCAAGAGTTCAGAGAATTCATTTCTTACTTACTGAAGAAAATAATATATTATCTAAGGAGTCAGGATGATAATACATATGCCCAGGAAGAATCCTATTGTTGGAAAATAAAATCGTCTGATTTAAGAATAAAGATGAAATGAAAAATCAAATATTTACAATGTAGTCAAGGTTTTATCTACAGATTTCTGAATAAATTTAGAGAATTTATATGTAACCTGAAAGTCTATATTGTATTGGGTACAGCTAGGGGCACTAAGTACATCAAAATGAAGGAAAATGCAAAAGTAGGTGAATATGTAGGGGTGACTCAACATTTATAATACAGCATAAAGAATGTAAGGAGAGGCGTTAGACAGATGCAAGGTACTGAGGTAGATAAAACAGAAGCAAGAAGACAGACACGGGGCTCCAGGAAGGGTGTCTAAAGAAAAAAAAAAAGAAACTGATAGATTACCTGATTTGTTGGAACACAAGCATTTATAAGGTTTCTTTCTTTCTTTCCCTTTTTTTTTTTTTTTTTTTTTTTTTTTGAGACGGAGACTCACTCTGTCACCCAGGCGGGAGTGCAATGGCGCAATCTCGACTCACTGCAACCTCTGCCTCCCAGGTTCAAGTGATTCTCCTGCCTCAGCCTCCTGAGCAGCTGGGATTACAGGAACACCACCATGCCTGGTTAATTTTTGTATTTTTAGTAGAGATAGGGTTTCACCATGTTGGCCAGGCTGGTCTTGAACTCCTGACCTAAGGTAATCTGCCCACCTCGGCCTCCCAAAGTGCTGGGATTACAGACATGTGCTACCATGCCTGGCCAGGATTTACAATATTTCTACAGGATAATTTAGGAATGAATTGGTGATAGGTATATAGAAAACTAAGCAAATGGTAAAAACGAATGAATACTTCAGCAAAATATAATAAACAAGTACACGAAAAAGGAAAAACAATCACAGTATTCAAGTGGCTTACAAATATTTACGTAGCCACAATAAAGAAAATACTGCAAATTAATTTAGGCAAATATTATGAAAAATTATACTGGGAAAACGAATGAGGAAAAGTGTGCCTGTGCTTGTGGTAAATTACTACCTTACACTTTAGAAAGGATGTATGTAAGTAAGTAAGAATTGCCAAGAGTTGAAATTGGTTACCTCCAGAAAGTAGAAATCACAGGTAGAAAGAGGTTTGGTCACGGGACTGGTTTTTATTTGAAGCCTTGTAAAACTATCTGTTTTTTAAAAATATGTAAATATATTACTTTGATATTAATGAAAATTTAATTTGAAAAAGATTGGATAAACACTTTTTGAAAATAAAAACAACTCTAAGGAAAAGAATTACTCAGTTCCACTCCCCAGAAACAACCTCCATTCAAATCATGATATATTTCCTACAGTTTTCTTTTTTTCTAAATATATACTTTTTAAATTTTGCAGTCAGGATAGTAACTGTATATACAATATGTATTATGAACATTTCCCCAAATTTCTTGGTAAACATCATGCTTGGTAGCTGCATAGTATTTCATTGGATGATTGTACAGTAATTTATTTAATAATTTGCTTATTGCTGGTAACTTACAGAGTGACAAAAATCCCTGGAATATAATAAGCTCTCAATAATCAACACAAAATGTTTTTCTTTTCTTTCATGAAAGAAAATTAATGACTAAAATGCCATACTAATTACATTTATAGCATTCACTATACACTAGAATGCAAAGAAACTCTAAATTTAAATGATGGGAAAAAGTTTACAATTTAGTCTACCAATCATATTATATACTAAAGAAAAATCCTGGTATAAAATAAATAGAGATACTAAATTCATGTTTTATGTCAATTTGGAGCTACCACACATCTATGAATACAGACTATAGAAATTATCACAAAAGTTGACCAATTTTGAAGAAAATGTATTTATCACAGTGTTATTTTACAGTAGCATAAGGTTGAAAATTAAACAATATGTATAACATAGAGAAGTAAATTACACTCTGGCTATGTTACCATTAAAAATCCAAAATACTATGTTATGCGGAAGAAAAGCAGAATATAGAGCCTTACTAAATACAATTGCAAATGCATTAAAAACAAAACATATAAACACAATGTTAATAGTGGTTCTCTGTGGTCAGTGGGATTATGATGACAAGTTTCATCTTTATACCTCTATAACACATAGTCATTACAGAGAATAAACTGTAGCATCTTTCATTAGAGGACATACTTGAAGGTATATGGGTAAATGCTGGTCCAAAATTATTCCAGTTATTAATATCTATCCCACATAAGCAAAAGATGGCATAGAGCTATACAAAAGAATCAAGCATATAGAATGGTATAAACTATGTAGGTTAAAAAACACACATACATACATACATACACACACACACAACACACATGAAACCTTAAAGAACTTCAATACGCAAGTCCATATTGAGATAAACTACCCAATACCTTTTTTAGATATTCTTAATACTAAGTATTAGTATTAAAGTATATGCTCAAAACAAACATAATTAAAATATAAAGCATTATTTGCATAATGCTCCTATAAACCATATTATACGTGTCTTTTGATAAAAGCATTTCTGTCAGGTACATATCTAAGAGTGGAATTGCTGAGTCATAGGGTATTTACATGCACTGTTAAACTGAACAAATTGTTCTATAAAGTAGTTATTCCAATTCATATTCCCACCAGCATTATATGAGGCTTCCAGTTGTTCAGGTCCTTGACAACTCATGGTACTATCTTTTTGTTTTTATTATAACCTTTCAAAAACAGTTTAAGGTTCACAAAAATTACAGCAGTCGAGCTCCCATATATCCTTCACTCTCGGCTTCCAATGGTAACCTACAACTTATATAACAACAATACATTGTCAAAACCAGGAAATTGATGTTGGTATGAACTCAAGTACAGAGCTCATTTGGGTTTCATCAGTTTTTTGTTTGATGTATAGTTCTACAAAATTTTATCATGCATGTAGAATCACATAACCATTACCATAGCAGGATACAGAACTGTTCTGTCATCACAAAAAAACACCTTCCTTGTGTTATCCCTTCGTATTCATGCCCTTCCCCTAACCCTAAACCCTGTCAACTACAGATCAGTTCTCTATCATTATACTTCTGTCAAATCAAGAATGGCATTTTCCAGTTAGCATGAGATCCATATAAGTTGTTGCTTGGATCAGTAAGCTGAGCAGCATTCCACTACATAGATATACCACAATTTGTTTATCCATTCACATGTTAAATAACATTTGGTTGTTTCTAGTTGAGGACCATTCTAAATAAAAGCTGCTGTGAACATTTGTGTTTAGGTTTTTATGTGAAAATGTTTTCATTTCCATGGGATACATTTCTGAGAGTGTAATTGCAAGGTTATATGACAAGTATGTTTAGTTGTTTAGTTTTGTTTTTTTAAACTGCCAAATTGTTTCCCAGAATGGTTGTTATTTTATATTCCCACTAGTAATGTAGGATAGAACTAGTTTCTCTATATCCTCACAAGCATTTAATGTTGTCACTATTTTTTATTTTAGCCATGCTGATAGGTGTGAAGTGACAACTCATGTGGTTTTAAATTACATTTTCTTTCTTTTTTAGAGACAAGATCTCACTCTGTCTCCCAGGTTGGAGTGCAGTGGCACAATCATAGCTCACTGCAACCTCGAATTCCTGGGCTCAAGTGATCCTCCTTCCTCAGCCTCCTAAGTAGTTATGACTATAGACATGTGCCACCATGCCCAGCTAATTGTATTTAATTTTTTGTAAAGACAGATTCTCACCATGTTGCCCAGGCTGGTCTTGAACCCATGGCCTCAAGTGATCCTCTCACCTCAGCCTCCCAAAGCCCTGGGATTGCAGGCCTGAGCCACTAGCCTCACCTAAATTACATTTCCCTAATGGCTAGTGATGCTATCTTTTCATATGCTTATTTGACATGCATAGCCTTCTTCAGAGAAGTGTCAGTTCAAGTCCTTTGCCCATTTACTAACTGGGTTGTTTTCTTTCTGAGTTCTTTATACATTCTGAATGAGTCCTTTGTTAAATATGCAAATTGCAAATATTTTCTCCAAGTCTATAAGTTGTCTTTTCCTTTCCCTAAGAGTCTTTCACAGACAAAAGTTTTTATTTTTGATTAAGTCCAATTATTGATTTTTTATTTAATGGGTTATATGCCTTTGGCATCATGACTAAGAACTCTGACTAACCCTAGATGCAGAAGATTTTCTTCTGTTTTCTTATACAAGTATAATAGTTTTACATTTAGATTTATGATTCCTTTTGACTTGATTTTTTAAAATATGGGTAAGGCTTAAGTAAAGGTTTGTTTTTGGCCTATGAAAGTCTAATTGTTTCAATACCAGTTTTTGAAAAGGCTATGCTCTCTCCATTTAATTGCTTTTGCATCTTTTGTCAAAACCATTTTTAACTTGAATTTCTCTGATAATTAATAAGGATCACCATGCTTTCATACATTTATTGGCCATTCAGATATCGTCTTTTGTAAAGTCCTGTTCAAGTTTTTGCCCATTTTTCTATTGGGTTGTCTAGTTTATCCAATTGATTTTTAAGAGTTATTTATATATCCTGGATGAGACCTTTTTATATCTATATATTGGAAATAGCTTCTCCAACTTTGTGGCTTGCCTTTACACTCTTAATGTGAAATGACGTTTGTATTAGTCAGGGTTTTCCAGAGAAACAGAACCAAAAGGAGTTAAGAACTTGTGTGTACATGCGTGTGTGTGTGTGTGTGTGTGTGTGTGTGTGTGTGTGTAGACATATTACGGCATTAGCCTCACTGTGATTATGGAAGCTGTGAAGTGCTACAATGTACTGTTCACAAGCTGCAAAACCAGGGAGCTAATCGTATAAATCCTGGTCCCAGTTCAAAGGCCTGAAAATCCGGGGGTAGGGTTGTGGGTGGGGGCAGTTGGTATAAGTCCTAGTCTGTCTGAGTCTGAAGGCTGAAGAACCATGATTACCAATCTCCAAGGGCTCGATAAGATGGATGTCCCAGCTCAAAGAAAGAGAGAGCAAATTTGCCCTTCCTCTGCATTTTTGGTCTATTCAGGCCCTCAATGGGTAGGATGATGCCCACTCACACTGATGAGGGCAATCTTCTTTACTCAGTCTATTAATTCAAATACCCTTTCAGGAGCACCCTCACAGACATATCCAGAAGTGTTTTATCAGCTGCATGGGCATCTCTTAGTGCAGTCAAAATGACACATAAAATTAACTATCACACCTTTGGTGAACAGAAGTCCTTAATTTTAATGAAGCCCAAATTACCAATCTTGTATATATACAAGGAACAGAAGGCAGCTCTGAAAAGTCAGAAGGATGAGGCAGATGGGTAGGGCCCTCAGGATATAAAGGATAATGTGGTACTGAGTTTCATGGGCTACCTTTTTATTTTTAAAAGCTTGTTTTTTTTGCGACAGGGTCTTGAATTGTCACCCACACTGGAGTGCAATGGCATGATCACAGCTCACTGCAGCCTTGACTTGCTGGGCTCAAGCACTCCTCCCACCTCAGCCTCCCAAGTAGCTGGGACTCCAGAAATGCACTAATGCACCCAGCTAATTTTTAAAATTTTTGTGGAGATAGGGTCTCACTATGTTGCCCAGACTGGTCTTCAACTCCTGGGCTCAAGTGATCCTCCTGCCTCACTTCCCAAAATGCTGGGATTACAGGTGTGAGCCACCGAGCCCAGCTGTTACAGACTTTCTTTCTGCCTCATGTATCCTAGATTGGTTGCTGAAGAACTCCAGAAGGTGCTGTCAAAAAAATCTCCAAGAAAAGCCTACCCTCCAGCCAAAGGACCAGGAAAGGGGCAGCACAGCAAGACAGAAAATGTTAGGATAACCACTCAATTCCAACCAAACAGTACAGCAAAAAATGCAGCTGAATCCTCACCTTTCTACCGTAACCAAGTTATAACAAGGCACTACCAGGGTGGGGTCAGACAAGTCTGATTTCACAAGGTCCTCCCTGTGACCCAACAGTGTCAATGAAGACCATGTAGGGAAACAATACATCCACCCACACCCAGCAGTTACAAGAAAACCCCTTCCCTTCCTACTGGAATTATACCACCATCCAATAATAACTAATGAGTCACCCCCTGTGATGTCAGTGGAGGCCATCTGGAAAGAAGTAAACAGGTAATCTTGAGCCTCTGTCCCCCCACCCAGCCAAGGTAATACCAGTAGAGGCCTAGTGAGGAGACTGAACTCCCACTATCAACTGGCAACAATGTGGTAGGGCGTCTCATGCCCTGCCAAAACATTTGTCAGAAGATGCCTACTATACCAAAAGATTTAAATAAAATCCAGCATCTCATGATATAGTAACCAACATGCCCAGTTTAAATAGAACTTTCTCATAATAAGAACCAGAAAAATCTCAAGTTCAACGAGAAAAGACAATCAACAGACACCAACACTGAGATGACATAGATGTTAGAATTGTCTGACAAGGATTTTTAAAGTAGTCATTATAAAAATGCCTCATAAGCAATTATTAACATACTTGAGACAAATGAAACAAACAGTCTCAGCAAAGAAACAAGAAGACATAAAAAAAGAATCAACTGAAAATTTTAGGCTGGGCACAGCAGCTCAGGCCTGTAATCCCAGCAAGTTGGGAGGCAAAGGCACGCAGATTACTTGAGGTCAGGAGTTCCAAACCAGTCTGGCCAACATGGTGAAACCCCGTCTGTACTAAAATTACAAAAGTTAGCTGGGTGTGGTGGTGCATGCCTGCAATCCCAGCTACTTGGGTGGCTGAGGCATGAGAATTGCTTGAACCTGGAAGGTGGAGTGTGCAGTGAGCTGAAATCTTGCTACTGCACTCCAGCTTGGGCGAGAGTGAGACCCTGTCTCAAAAAAAAAAAAAATTAGAACTGAAAAATATAACAGAAATTAAAAACTCAGAATGTGTTCAGTAGAAAGCAGAGAACAGAAGATTTGGTGATTTTGAAGACTAAACAACAGAAATGGCCTAATCTGAACAACAGAGAAAAATGGAATGGAAAAGAGACTCATGTACCCATGGGACTATAACAAAAGATTTAATATTTTTGTCATTAGAGTCCTAAAAGAAGAGGAGAAGGAAGGAGGGGCTGAAATTCAAAGAAATAATGACTGAAAATTACCAAAATGTATTAAGAAACATAAACCTGCAGCTTAAGTAGCTGAATGAACCACAAACAGGATAAACCCAAACAAATACGTGACAAAATATATCAGTCATCTTCCAAAAACGTAGAAAAATAATCTTGAAAGAAGAGAGAAACGACACCTTATCTAAGGGGGGAAAAACAATTCAAACAGCAGGTTTCTCATAAGAAACCAGGGAGACGAGAAGGTAGTGACACATATTTTTCAAGTACTGAAAGGAAAGAATTGCCAACCCAGAATTCTATATCCAGCTGAAATACCATTCAAGAATGAAGGGGAAATCATTTGTTGCCAGCGGACTTGCTGTTAAAGAATGGCTAGGCCAGGCATGGTGGCTCACGCCTGTAATCCCAGCACATTGGGAGGCCAAAGCAGGTGGATCACTTGAGCTCAGGAGTTCAAGACCAGCCTGGGCAATATGGTACAACCCCATCTCTACAAAAAATACAGAAATTAGCCAGGTGTGGTGGTGCCCACCTGTAGTCCCAGCTACTTGGGACGCTGAGGTGGGAGGATGGCTTAAGCCTAGGAGGTCAAGGCTGCAGTGAGCTGAAATTGCACCACTGTATGCCAGCCTGGGTGACAGAGCAAGACCCTGCTTAAAAAAAAAGGAATGGCTACAATAAGTTCTCTAAATACAAAGCAAATGATATAAAAAGGAATACTGAAACATTAGGGAGAAGTAACAGCAAATAATAAATATAAGTCAATACAACAATTTCATTCTGTTGTGTTTTCTAAATTATATTCTATGGTTGAAGAAAGAATGATTACACTGACTGATATGGTTAAACACTTGAGACAGTCATATTATAAAAAGGGAATCAAAAGGATATAAAGAGGTAAGGTTTCTGCACATCAATTAAACTGGCAAAATGACACCAGTAGACTGTAATAAGTGTGTGTATAGGTATGATGTAATACCTACAGCAACCACTATCAAAGCTATACAAAGAGAAACACTAAAAAAAACTACAGATGAATCAAAATAGAATTTCAAAAATATAAAACTAACCCACAGGAAGGGAGGAAAAAGAAATCATAAACAAAAGAAAATAAAATGAAAGAGAACCAACTGAACAAAAAAATAAAATGGTAGACTGAAGCCTTACATTAAATATAAACGGTCTATATACACCATTTAAAAGAAAAATTAAGTGGATAAAAAATAAAACAAAAAACATGACCCAATCACATGCTGTCTACAAGAAACTCACTTCAAATACAACAACATAGGTGAGTTGAAGTAAAAGGATGAAAAACTATATACCGTGCAAACACCAATCAAAATAAAACAAGAGTGGTTATATTAGTATCAGATAAAACAGATTTCAGAGCAAAGAAGATTATGAGGGATAGACAGGGGCACAGCAATACTAAATGTGCATAATAAACAACAGAGCTGAAAATATCAGAAGCAAAACCTGACAGAACTGAAGGAGAAACAGAAAAATCCACAATTATAGTTGGAGATTTCAACCTTCCTCTCAAAAACTGATAACCACATAGCCAAAAAAAAAAAATCAGCAAAAGTAAAGAAGAATACAAGAACCTCATCGAAAAACAAAATCTAATCAGTATTTATAGAACACTCCACCCAACAACAGCAGAGTACATATTCTCTTCAAGGGCCAGTCTACTTGAGACATAAAACAAAGCATAACAAACTTAAAAGAATTGAAATCATACAGATTATATTTCCTGAACATAATTGAACTAGAAATCCACAACAGAAAAATAATGGGAACCTCCAAACGCATGGAAATTAAACAACATGCTTCTAGCTGAGCCAAAGATGAATTCTGAAATAAAAATATACTGAACTAAATGAAAATATAACACATCAAAGTTTGTATAACTAAAGCAGTGCTGAAAGCGAAATTTATAACACTAAATGCTTACATGAGAAAAGAAAAAAAGTCTCAAATCAAATTAGTAATCTAAGCTTCTACCTCCAGAAAGTAGAACAAGAGCAAAACAAACCAAAAGCAAGATGAAATTAAAATAGGAAAAAAAAAAAAAGAAAAAGAAAATCAAGGGAATAAAACACTAGTTATTTGTAACAATTAATGAAACTGACAAACCTCTAGCAAGACTAGTAAAAAGAAAACACACAAATTACCAGTATCAGAAGTGAAACAGAAGCTATCACTATAGACCCTAAAGACATGAAAAGGATATTAAGAAAATGCTATGAACAATTCTACACATATATTTGAAATTACGATGAAATGAACCAATTCTTACAAAAGCACAAACTACAACAACACATTCAATATAAAATAGATCATTTGAATAATCCTAAAACTACTGAGGAAATTTAATTAGTGATTTTTAAACTCCCAAAAAAAGAAATCTTCAAGGCCAGAACTGGTTTCACTGGCAAATTTTACCAAACATTTAAGATTAACACAAATCCCCATAATTTTTGTCAGAAAATAGAAAACAATTATTGACTTATTTTATGAGGTCGATATTAACCTGATACCAAAACCAGACAATGACAACACGAAAACAACTGAATATATAAGAGTAACTCTCATAAATATCTCTCAACAAAGTATTAGCAAACAGAACCAAGTACTATATAAAAAGAATTATCCTTACGATCAAGTGGAGTTTTATTCCAGGCATGAAAAGTTGGTTCAGTATTCAAAAACCAATCTACATAGCACACCATATTAACAGATTAAGAAGAAATAACAGATGATACAAACTGAGGCAGAAAAAGCATTTGTCAAATGTAAACACCTATTCGTCATAAAAACTCAGAAAATTAAGAATAGAGGGGAACCACCTCAACTTGATGAAGAGTAATTACAAAAAAAGTACAACATGGCTGTGCATTCCTACTCAAAGAGGCTGAGGCAGGAGGATCCCTTGAGCCTAGGAGTTCGAGGCTGCAGTGAGGTATGATCACACCACAGAACTCCAGTCATGGTGATAGACAGAAACCTTGTCTCAAAACAAAAACAAACAAAAACAACCCCCCCACCCAAAAAAACAACCTTACAGCTAACATCATAGTTAATGAAGACAGAATGCTTTTCTCCTAAGATCAGGAAGAAGGTAAGGATGTCCACTCTCACCATTGCTACTAACTATATTACTCTTAAGTTTTAACTAGTATGAGGTATAGGGAGGGACATAGCAATACTAAACATGCATAATAAACAGAGCTGAAAATATCGGAAGCAAAACCTGACATAACTTAAAGGAGAAACAGACAAATTCACAATTATAGTTGGAGACTTTTCTTGCAGCAAGACAAGAAAAGGAAACAAACAGCATACAGATCATAAAAGAAGAAATAAAACTATCCCTCCTTGTGGATAGTACAATGATCTACTTAGAAAATCCCCAGAAATCTATAAAACAAACTCCTAGAACAAATGAAGTCAGCAAGATTACAGACAAAAGATCAACACAAAAATCAATTGCATTTCTATATTTGAGCAATGAACACATGGAAACAAAAATTAAAAATACAGTAACATTTACAATAACTCAAAAAGAGAAATACCTGGGTGTAAATCTAACAAAAGATCTACAGGACCTGTATACTGAAAACTACAAAACACTGATGGAAGAAATCAAAGATCAACTAATGGAGACATACACTGTGTTCACTGATCAGAAAACAATAAAGTTATCAATTCTCTGCTGCTAAAAGTATTACAGTTGAAAAATGATATCAATTCTCTACAAATTAGTAATAGGTTTAATACAATACCTATTAAAATTATTGCAAAACTTTTGTAGGTCTAGACAAGATTATTCTAAAATTCATATAAAAATAGCTAAAACAATCTGTGAAAGGTAGAACAAAGTGGGAAGAATCATTCAATGTGATATTAAGGCTTAGTACACAGCTACAGTAATCAAGACTATGTAGTAATGATGCAGAGAAAGACATATGGAATAAAGGAATAGAATAGCAAACTGAAAAACAGCCCAAAACAAGTATAGCCAACTGATTTTTCACAAAGGTGCAAAACCAATTCAGTAAAGGAAGTATGGTTTTTTCTTCGTTCTTTTTTTTTTTTGAGACAGTGTCTTCCTCTGTTACCCAGGCTGGAGTGAAGTGGTACAATCATGGCTCACTGCAGCCTCGACCTCCTGATCTCAAGTGATCCTCCCACATCAGCCTCCAGAGTAGCTGGGAGTACTGGTGTGCATCACCATGCCTGGGTATTTTTTTTTTTTTAGAGACAGGGTCTCGCTGTGATGCTCAGGCTGGTCTTGAATTCCTGGGCTCAGCCTCCCAAACCACTAGGATTACAAGTATGAGCCACTGTGCACTGCCACAGATAGTTTTTTTCAACAAATGATGCTGCAGCAATTGAACATCCACAGCCAAAAATATGAACCTTTAAACTTCACACCTTATACAAAAATTAACTCAATACAACATGGACTTAAACATAAAAGGTAAAATTATAAAACTTGTAAAATACAACACAGGACAAAGTCTTCAAGACCTAGGGCTTTGAGGAAGAGTTCTTAGACTTGACATCAGAACCATGATCAAAACAAAGAAACAAACATTGACAAACTAGATTTCATCAAAATTAAAATCTTTGTTCTCTGAAAGACCCTGTGAAGGGGATGAAAAGACAAGCCATAAACTGGCAGGAAGTATTTGCAAACCATATATCTGACAAAGGACACATATCTAGATTATATAAAGAACTCTCAAAACCCTACAATAAAAAAACAAGCAATCCAATAAGAAAATGGACAAAAAGACATAAAGAGATTTTCACCCAAGAGGATATACAATATTTGATGGCAAATAAACACATAAGATGTTCAATATAACTGGTTGTCAGGGAACTGCAAATTAAGACCACAATAAGATACCACTACATACCTATCAGAACTCCTAAAATAAAAAACAGTGATAATAGCAAATGCTGGTGAGGATGTAGAGAAACTTGATTTCTCACACACTGCTTGGTAGGACTATAAAATGGTACAGCCATTCTAATTAAGAGTTTGGCAGTTTCCTAAAAAAGTACTTACCATATGACCTAGCCACAGCATACCTGGGCATTTATCCTAGAGAAATGAAAACTTAGGTCCACACAAAAAGCTGGAACACAGTGTTCACAGCAGCTTTAGTTATAATAGCCAAACCTGGACAAAATGAAAATGTCCTGCAATAAGTGAATGATTAAACATCTGTGGTACATCCATCCCATAGAATACTACTCTGTAATAAAAAGGAACAAACTATTGATACATGTGACAACTTGGATGGAACTCAAGGGCATTATGCTGACTGAAAAAAGCCAATCTCAAGAGGTCACATATAGAGAATGATACCATTTATATGACAGTCTTAATATGATAAAATAATAGAGATGGAGCATAAATTAGTCATTGTCAGGGGTTAAGGTTAGTGACAAGGTTGGCAGTAAAAATGGGTGTGACTATAAAAGGGTAGTGAGAGAGAGCGAGCTTTGTGGTGATGGAATATTTCTGTATCTTGATTGTGTATATGTGGAAAAAAAGATATATGCAAACATTGAAACACTGTCAACTTCTTAGTTTTGATATTGAAATATAAGATTTAACCATTGGGGAAAATTAGGTAAAGGGTTCACAGGACCTCTCTGTACTTGCAAGTTCAGGTGAATCTATAATCATTTCTAAATTAAAAGAGAAACAAACCAAAAATAGTATCAAGCTAACGAGGCACTCTGAGACTGCTGAAAACTACTTCCAGGTCACACAAAACAACAACGTTACAAATGGTCATTATCTTAAAGTTTATTTTAATGTGTCTTTCAGATTGCTTTGGCATAAACAAGGATTATATTTATATCCTATTTACTGAAAATTACTGAGTCATGAAAAATTAGAATTTACAGAGATATAATCTAAAACATTTGTGGATTTTTTCCTTGCTCTTTTCATTTTGTTTTTTGTTTCATTTTCTGTTTGTTTGTGCATTTTGAGAGACAGCATAACATCTGTGGATTTCATGTGTATGGGTTCAGCTACTCAAGAGCAACTCCCCAAATCCATAATATACATGTACAGGTTGAACAGCCCAAATCTGTAAGTCTGAAATCCTAAATTCACCAAACTCCAAAACTTTTTGAGTGCCAACGTAACACTCGAAGAAAATGCTCATTGGGGCATTTTGGATTTAGATTTTCAGATTTGGTATGCTCAACAGGTAAGAATATAATACAAATATTCAAAAATCTGAAAAAAATCCCATATCTGAAATTCTTCGGGTCCCTAGCACCCCCAAGCATTTTGGATAAGAAATACTCAACCAGTATATGCCTGAAGCATGAATTTGAATGACATGCTTTTTGGCATATGTTTAGGGGTAATTCACTAGTGAGTAAGCCAAGCTGACAGCTCAACATCTACATTTCAATGTTTTTCCCTACTAGTCATCAAGTATAAATGTCACGTGACAGATTATATGCCTCTGTCGTATTTTAAAATTTGGGAAACCTAGCAAGCCAAAGGTTTAGATTATGTTTGAGAAATTTGAGTTACTCAATAAAATTACTTCTTCACACTCATGTACAAATAATAATTTGTTTAAACATGAAAAACACAGAATATAAAAATGTATTTATTCTTTAAACAATTATATAATCAATCATATACATTTATAATTTAACTATACTCAAATCATCCCTTTGTAAGCTCTCTTAGGCTACGGGTTTTCAATAATTAATAATCTTCCTAAAATGTAACTGAAATTTCTCTAGCCTTAAGCCTAGGTCTAGTTCATGATGCTGCTAAAATTAAAACATGTTTTAAACACACAGTATAATATTCTCCATAGTTTAAAATATTTATTAAGGCATACTTCAGCCATCTTTCTACTAAACTAACCCCATCTCCTTTATCCTTTTCTTAAATGCCATGCTTTCTTATGTTTGTGTATGTGTATACGTATGCGTATGTGCATATGTTTAGATGTATGTATAGTCATGTGCCACATAATGTGTTGGTCAATAACAGACAGCATGTACAAAGGCAATCTCATAAGAGTATAATACATATTTTTACTGTATCTTTTCTGTTTAGATATGTTACATACACAAATACCATTGTGTTCCAATTGCCTACAGTATTCAGTACAGTAACATGCTGTACAGTTTTGCAGCCTAGGAGCAATAAGCTATATCACAGAAAGCCTACTGATGTACAGTACACTCTATGATATTTGCATAGTGACAAAATTGCCTAATGATGCATTTCTCAGAATGTATACTGGTTGTTAAGCAACATATGACTATATATAAAACTTTTTCTTTCCAAATGTAGCTTGATTTTGTCAATTACTAACAGCTTAAAACAATATCAATACACACACAAATTGCCTTGTATCTACAGTTAATGATATTAAAATGGTCAATAAGCACATGAAAAGATGCTCAACATAATTTATCATTAGGGAATAGCAAATTAAAATCACAAGAGATGCCACTACACATACATTAGAATGAGTAAAATAATTTTTTTAAAAAATGACAATACCATGTACAGACAAGAATGTAAGGAAACTGGAACTCTCATACAACTGCGGGTGGGAATGAAAAATTGTACAGTCACTTTGGAAAACTGCTTGATAGTTTCTTACAAAGATAAATGTACACTTACTATATGACCCAGCAATCACAATCCTAGGCTTTTGTTTCATTTAAGTAAATACTTATGTTCACACAAAAACTTGAACATGAAAGCTTAGAGCAGCTTTGATTTTAATTCCAAAACCTGGAAACAACTCAAATGTCCCTCAAGTGGAAGTAGCTGAACAAACTGTGATATAGCCCTATAATGGAAGACTATACAACAATTTTTAAAAATTATTGGTATATGCAACAATGTAAATGATTCTCAAATAAATCTCACTAAGTGAAAGAAGTGAGACTCAAAAGGCTACAAATTATATGATTCCATAAGTGAATTCAGTGGTTAGGGAGTGATGACACTGTTTTGCAACCTGACTGTACCTTGCATTTGCTAAAAACATTCAAATACACAATAAAAATAGTGAACTTTATGTAAATTTTAAAATTAATTATTTTAATGTTTCTACATATACAGAAAATTTTTCCTACCTCACATTAGTTTCATCATTAAATTCTTCAGCCCACTTCTTCCTTGACTGTGCAGTAGTGGAACCATCTAAACGGTAATAGTCAATGTTTCGAAGCCACTTCCCCTCACCTGAAAATTTAACAAAAGAACACAAAAGGAATTTGATATATCGCTCTGCTTACTGGTAAGAACAGATTTTCCACCTTGCTCATCATTTAAAAGTGGGTTATATATATTCTATTTGTATAGCAAAATACATTATATACTTTTCTTAATCAAGGAGTCATTACATTATAAATAAATTAACCACAGATTTCATTCAAATAGATAGTGATGAGCACAGGTATTTTTAAAGCCTATTTCATCTACATGAGAATTTCTTAAAAGGGTTTCCTTGATTAGAATCCTTAAAACTGTCAAAAGAATATGATTAAACTTACATTTCGCTCATGAGGCATGTTTTAAGTTATATCTGTAAATGGCCACGTTTTTCTCCTTATCAACAACTTGATAATGATCAAATAAAAATGAGAGATAAAGAATGCCTTTATTCATTCACTGAACAAATCTTTACTGAATGCCTACTATGTGCCAAAAATTATTCTATGGGGTAGCTGCAAATTTCAGTGTACGTTTCCATTTCAAATGTGGTGTGTGTGTATGTGTGTGTGTGTGTGTAAAGGAGTACGACTTTATGAGTTAATGATATGACATGTCAATTTTAGACAGTGAGTTTAAGTTTTTTTTTTCCTTTAATCTACACCAGGAAGAAGTGAGGTGAAATTTTACCCAAGACTTGCATTGATACTAAAATACCAAGAGATTAAGGGCTTATGACACTTTTATATTTTATCATACATAATTTCTATTCTAATTATTTAACTGTAAACACAATGCTACTATTTCCAATCCAAGCAAAATTCTATCATGCCCCAGAGCCTTAAAATAAAACAGTTAACAAAACTGAGATTTACTTATGTCTTTCCAGCAAGCTCTTTAAATTTAGTACATTAGTTAAAAAAAAGATGCTTTTCCATGTTTCTTACCTATATCTTCACTGATATAGAAAACCCAGAATTTCCTTGTTAAAAATTCATTAATGCTTATGAAAGTCATTTTATTTATGATTTTTTTTTCAATTAGAAAAAAAGGCATACACATCCAAGAAAAAAAGAATTTGAGATGGATACTTGCATAAAAAGGTAAGAGGCTGGAGTCACATTTGCATTAATTGTTCACTTGAACAGGATAATTATTAAAATAAATAATCATAAATGAATGGAAAATGATATGACTATTTTAAAAAGCATTTCAACATACTCACCTTTTATTATAATGCAAATGAATATCTCTAATACCACCTCGATGAATCCAACACTTAAAAACTGATAGAGTCATTATAGGTTAGTAGTTAAGAACACAGACTTTGGAGTGACACTCCCTGAGTTTAATCTCAGTTTCACCATTTACTAACATTTTCACTTATGGCAAGTAATTAAACTCCTTGTGCCTCAGTTTCTTTATCTGTAAAATGAAGATAATCAGAGTACCTATTGCATAGGGTTGTTATGAGGATTCAATGAGATAATATTTTAAAAACTACTTAGAATGGTGCCTGTCACATGGTAATTAAAAGCTTACTGAGTTCTTAATATTATCACTCAAGATCCCATGACAAATTACACCTGCCTCTATTATGGCACATAATATATGTGTCTGTTCCTCTTCTACACCATGATTTCCTGTAGTACCCCTTAAATCTTGCTCAGTGCTCAATACACAGTGGTAATGGTAATGGTAGTGGTAGTGGTAATAGCAGTAACTCAAAGGCAGACCAATCTGATTAGTAAACATTTGCTAAAGATAATTTACAAAATCAGAAATAAACTAGCAAGCATATAAAAGAAGTACAACCCTACTAGTGGTCAAAAAATTATTAATGAAAACAATGACAACTGTTTTTACCCATTAAAGATGAAGAAAATGTAGTTACAATACATATTAAGATAAGCATTTTCCATTTATTGATGGTAGTAAATTGGTATGTTTTTGTAACATAGGCTTTTCAATAATGAAAAACTGCCAGAACATAGAATCTAATAAAATGTATAGTGATAATAGAAAAAAAATATATTTAAGCTTATATTTAACTACAGTCAAATGTAAAAATACACATATATACTACACATATATATGTTAAAGATATGCCAAAAACTCACTCTAGAAACAAAGAAAGCGGGGAAATGAGAAAGATAAAAAGTGCAAGTATATACCTAGGAAAATGCCTAACTAGAGCATCATTCTCTGTATAAAAAAACTAGGGAAGTTACAGATAAGGGTAATTTATTCCCTTACCAGTTCAACAAGTATTTACTATGGACCTACTACATGTCTAGCTTGGTGCTAGACAAAGAGTATACAAAAATGGGTAGTAATGAACCTGTCTCCAATGATACATATATTTATGAGACAGACATAATCCCCATACAACATGGAGCACTCTGGGAAGCCCCGTGGAGTTATCTGTTCTCTCACACTCCCCATTTCCCCTTACCCACAGGCCCTGGCAAACACCATTCTATTTTATGTCTCTACAAATTTCACTACTCTAGGAACCTCATAATAGGAATCATGTAATATTTGTCCTTTTTAGACTGGCTTAGATCACTTGGCATATTGTCTTCAAGATTCATACATGTTCCACCATGTGTCAAAGTTTCCTTCCTTATTAAGGCTAAATTATGTTCCACTGTATGTATATACCACATTTTGTTTATCCAGTTATCTGTTGATGGACATTTGACTTGCTTCCATGATTTGGTCATGAATAATGCTGCTATAATGTGGGCGTACAAATACAAATACTTCTCTGACACCCTGAACTCAATTCTTGTGGGTATATACCCAGAAGTAGTACTTCTGGATCTCATGGTAATACTATTTTTAATTTTTTGAGGAACACCACACTGTTTTCCACAGCAGCTATACCATTTTACATTCTAACCAACAGTACACAAGAGTTCCAATGTCTCCATATCCTCACCAACTCTCATTATTGTTTTTTCATAGTAGCCCATCCTAATGGGTGTGTGGTGGTATCTCATTACAGTTTTCATTTGCATTTCCCTAAGGATTAGTGATGCTAGACATCTTTTCATGTGCTTCTTGGCCATTTGTATATCATTTTTAGAGAAATGTCTATCAACTCTTTTGCCCATATTTAAATCATATTATTTTTGTTGTTGTGTTGTAGGAATCCTTTATGTATTTTTGATATTAACCCCTTATCAGATGTATGATTTGCAAATATTTTTCCCATATGGTAGGTTGCCTTTTTACTGTCAAAATAGTAAATTTTATGTTATATATATATTTACCATAATACTAAAAAGAAAAAAAACTACCTATAAGAAGAGCCCAGGCCAAGATGGCTTCAATGCTGAATTCTAACAAACATTTAAATAATTAAGCTCAATGCTTTACAAACAATTCCAAAAAACAGAAACAGGAACAAATACCAACTCATTCAATCAGGGCAGTACTGGGGAAGGAGGTGGAATAAGATGGCTGAATAGAAGCTGCTACTGATCAACCTCCCAGCATAAACAGCAAATGTTATGACTATCTACACAAAAAAGCACCATCATAAGAAACAAAAATCAGGTGAGCAATTATAGTACCTGATCTTAACTTCATATCACTGAAAGAGGCACAGAAGGGGAAAGACAATCTTGAATCGCCAATGCCACTGCTACCTCAACCCCCAGAAGTGGCCACGTGTCATAGGGAGAGAATCAGTGCACTTGCGGGAAGGAGAGTGCAGTGATCATAGGACTTTGAATTGGAACTCAGCCTACACACATGAAGGGAGCATATAAACCTGCCCAAACCAGAGGGGAATCATCCATCACAGTGATCAGAAGTTGAGTTTTAGTAAGTCACGCCACAGTGGGCTAAAGTGCACTGGGGCCCTAAATAAAACTGAAAGGCTATCTAGGCCACAAGGACTGCAACTTCTGGGCAAGTCCTAGTGCTGTAAAGGGCTTGGAGCCAGTAAAATGGGGGCACTTGACTTAGTCAGATACCACTGGGGCGGCTAAGAGAGTGCTTATGCCACCACTCCTCACTCCTCCAATTCCAGGTAGCGCAGCTTAGAGCTCCAAAAGAGACCTCTGCTTTCTACTTGAGGAGAGAAAAGGGAAGAGAAAAAGCACTTTGTTTTGCAACTTGGATACCAGCTCAGTCACAGTAGGACAGGGCCCTGGGCAGAATCGTGAAGCCCCCATTCCAGGCCCTAGCTCCCTGGGCCAGAAGGCAACCCATTGCCTTGAATCGAGGGACCCAGTCATGGCAGGATTCATCACCTGCTGACCAAAGAGCCCTTGGGCCCTGAATCATCAGCAGCAATAACCAGGTAGTACACATTGTGGGGCATGGATTAGACAGAAATGTGTTAGGTTATGGTGAGACCCAGCTTATTAGAAGTTGTGGTGGCTACAAAGAGAGGCTCTTCCTGTTTGAGAAAAGGAGAGGGAAGAGTAAAGGGGACTTTATCTAGCAGTGTAGCTACCAGGTTGGCCACAGCGGACAAAAGCAACAAACGGGCTCTTGGGTCCCCAATTCCAGGCCTTAGCTCTTGAATGGAATTTGTGGACTGAGCCTGGGGCAGAGTGGAGCCCACTGCCCTGAAGGGTGAGTCTCTGGCCTGGCAGCATTCACCAAAAGCTGACTAAATAGCCCTTAGGCCTTAAGTGAACACTGGCGGTACACTGGCAGTACTCTCTGCGGGCCTGTCCTGGTGGTGGCCACGAAGAGAGGCTCCTCTGCCTGAGGAAAAGAAAGAGAAGAGTAGGAAGGACTTTGTTTTGTTATTTCTGTGCCAGTTTAGCCATAGTAGAATAAAGCACTAGGTATATTTCTAACATTTCTGGCTCCAGGCCCTGGCTCCAGAAAGCATCTCTATACCCGCCCAGGGACTAAGAGAATTTGCCAACATGAAGGGAAAGACCCAGTACTGGCAGGCTTCACCACTTGCTGAATGTACAGCCCTTGGGCCTTGAGCAAACATAGGCAGTAACCAGGTAGTGGTTACAGTGGGCCTTGGGCAAGACCCATTGCTCTGCTGGCTTAAGATCTGACCAAGTGCTATACCCGCAGTGGTAGTCACAGGGGTGCTTGTGTCACCCACCCCCCACCCCCAGCTCCAGGCAACTCAGCACAGAGAGACTCCATTTGTTTGGGAGAAAGTAAAGGAAGAGAACAAGATTCTCCATCTGGTAATGCAGACAATTCTTTTGGATCTTATACAAGACCACCAAAATGGTACCTCTACAAGGCTGCAAGAACTACAGCGTTACTGGCCTTAGGGTGACCCCTAATGTGGACACAGCTTCAGTGACTAAAAAGTTAGATCACAACACCCAAGTCCCTTCAAATACCTGGAAAGCCTTCCCAAAAATGACAGGTACAAACAAGCCCAGACTGCAAAGACTACAATAAATACCTAACTCTTCAATGCCAAGACACCAACGAAAATCCATAAGCATCAAGACCATTTAGAGAAATATGACCTCATCAAATGAACTAAACAGGGAATCGGGAAAATCCGGGAAAGACAGAGATATGTGACCTTTCAGAGAGAGAACACAAAATAGCTGATTTGAGGAAACAATGAAATTCAAGATAACACAGGAGGAATTCAGACTCCAATCAGATAAATTTAATGAAGAGGCTGGAATAATTAAAATGAACAAAGCAGACATTCTGGAGTCAAAAAATGCAACTGACATACTAAAGAATGCATAAGAGTCTCTTAATAGCAAAATTGATAAAGCAAAAGAAAGAATTAGTGAGCCTGAAGATAAGCTACTTGAAAATACACAGTCACAGGAGACAAAAGAGAAAAGAATAAAAAAGAATAAAGCAGGCCTACAAGGCATAGAAAATAGCTACAAAAAAAGCAAATCTAAGAGATATCGGTCTTAAACAGGAGGTAGAGAGAAAGACTGGCGTAGAAAGTTTATTCAAAGGGATAATAACAGAGAAACCCAAATCTAAAGAAAGATACTAATATTCAAGTAGAAGGTTATAGAATATCAAGCAGATCTAACCCAAAAAAGACTACTTCAAGGCACTTAATAACTCCCAAATGTCAAGGATAAAGAAAGGATCCTAAAAGCAGCAAGAGAAAAGAAACAAGTAACATACAATGGATCTCCAATATGTCTGGCAGCAGACTTTTCAGTGGAAATCTTTCAGGCCAGGAGAAGAGTAGCATGAAATATTTAAAGTGCTCAAGGAAAAAACTTTCACCCTAGAATTATATAAATGGAAAAAATAACCTCTAAACATAAAAGAAAAATAAAAACTTTCCAGACAAACAAAAGCTGAGGGATTTTATCCACACCAAACCTGTCCTACAAGAAAGGCTAAAGGAAGTAATTAATCAGAAAGAAAAGGACATGAATGAGCAGTAAGAAATCCTCTAAAGGTACAAAACTCACTAAAAACAGTAAGTACATAGAAAAATACAGAATATTATAACAGCGTAACTGTGGTGTATAAATTACTCTTATTATAAGTAGAAAGACTAAATGTTGAAGCAACAAAAATAACTACAACAACATATCAAGACATAGTACAATAAGATATAAACAGAAACAACAAAAAGCTAAAAAGTGGACAAAGTTAAGGTGTAGAATTTTTATTAGTTTTCTTTTTGCCTGTTTCTTTCTTTGTTTATAAAAACAGTGTAAAGTTGTTATCAGCTTACAATAATGGGTTTTAAGATAGAATTTCCAAGCCTCATGGGAGCCACAAACCAAAAAACATATAATGGATAAACAAACAAACAAAAAGGAAGAAACTAAACCATACCACTAGAGAAAATCACCTTCATTAAAAGGAAGATAAGAAGGAAGGAAAGAAGACGAGCCCAAAAAACAACTAGAAAACAAATAACAAAATGGCAGGAGTAGGTCCCTACTAATCAATAATAACATTCAATGTAAATGGACTAAACTCTCCAATCAAAAGACAGAGGGGCTCAATGGATTTTAAAAAATACCCAATGATCTGTTGCCTACAAGAACACACTTCACCTGTAAAAATACACATAGGCTGAAAATAAAGGGATAAAAAAGGATATTCCATGCCAATGGAAACCAAAAAGAGCAGGAACAGCTATACTTATATAGGACAAAATAGATTTCAAGATAAAAACTGTAAGAAGAGACAAAGAAGGACACTATATAATGATACAGTTCAATTCTACAAGAGGATATAACAATTTAAAATATATATGCACTCAACCCTGGGAGCACCCACATATACAAAGCAAATATTGTTACAGCCAAAGAGAGAGATAGACCCCAATAAAATAATAGCTGGAGACTTCAACACTACACACAGAAAATCAACTAAGAAACATCACACTTTATCTACACTATAGACCAAATGGACCTAATACATATTTACAGAATATTTCATCCAACAGCTACAGAATACACATTTTTTTCCTCAGCATGTGGATCATCCATATGTTAGGTCACAAAACAAGTCTTAAAACATCAAAAACAACCTGAAATAATATCAAGTATCTTCTCTCACCACAGTGGAATAAAAGGAGAAATTAATAACAAGGTATTTTGGAAACTATACAAATACATAGAATTTAAACAACACATTCCTGAATGACCGGTGGGCCAATGAAGGAATTAAGAAGGAAATCAAAAATTTTCTTTAAAAAATGATAATGGAAACACAACATACCAAAAAACATAAGACACAGGGAAAGCAGTACTAAGAGGAAAGCTTATAGCTATAAATGCCTATATCAAAAAAGTAGAAAAACTGCAAATAATGTAACAAGGCATCTTAAAGAATCAGAGGCTGGTCGCGGTGGCTCATGCCTGTAATGACAGCACTTTGGGAGGCTGAGGCGGGTGGATCACCTGAGGTCAGGAGTTTGAGACCAGCCTGGCCAACACAGTGAAACCCTGTCTCTACTAAAAATACAAAAATTAGCTGGGCATGGTGGCGGGCGCCTGTAATCTCAGCTACTCAGGAGGCTGAGGCGGAAGAATCATTTGAACCTGAGAGGCAGAGGTTGCAGTGAGCCGAGATTGCGCCACTGTATTCCAGCCTAGGCAACAAAACGAGACCTTGTCTCAAAAAAAAAGAAAAAAAAAACAAAAAAGAAGAGAAGAGAAGAATTAGAAAAGCAAGAACAAACCAAGCCCAGAATTAGTAGAAGAGAAATAAAGATCAGAGCAGAAATAAATAAACTTGAAATAAAGAAAACAATACAAAAGATCAATGAAACAAAAAACAGGTTTTTTGAAGAAAATAAACAAAACTGACAAACTTTGAGACAGACTAAGCAAAAAAGAGAGAAGACCCAAAAAAATAAAATCAGAGATGAAAATAAAGATATTACAACTGTTACAGCAGAAATTCAAAGAATCATTAGTTGCTATTATCAGCAACTATATGCCGATAAATTGGAAAACTTTAGAAGAAATGGATAAATTTCTAGACACACACAACCTACCAAGATTGAACCGTGAAGAAGTCCAAAATCTGAACAGACCAATAAAAAGTAATGAGATTGAAGCCATAATAAAAAGTCACCCAGCAAGGAAAATCCCAGGACCCAATAGCTTCACTGCTGAATTCTATCAAACATTTAAATAAGAAATAAGACAAATCCTACTCAAAATATTCTGAAAAGTAGAGAACAGAATACTTCCAAACTCATTTTACAAGGCCAGTATTACCCTGATAACAAAACCAGATAAACACACATAAAAAAATTAAACTATAAGCCAATATCACTGGTGAATACTAATGTAAAAATCCTCAACAAAACAGTAGCAAACGGAATTCAATAATAAAATGATCATCCATCATGACCAACTGGGGCTTATCTCCAGGGATGCAAGAATAGTTCAACATATACAAATTGATGTGATACATCATATCAACAGCATGAAAGACAAAACCCATATGATCGCCGGGGTGTGGTGGCTCACGTCTGTAATCCCAGCTCTCTGGAAGGCCGAGGCAGGTGGACCGCTCGAGGTCAGGAGTTCAAGACCTGTCTGGCCAACATGGTGAAACCTCGTCTCTACTAAAAATGCAAAAATTAGTTAGGCGCGGTGGCACACGCCTGTAATCCCAGCTACTCAGGAGGCTGAAGCAGGAGAATCACTTGAACCTGCAAGGCAGAGACTGCGGTGAGCCAAGATCACGCCATTGCATTCCAGTCTGGGCAACAGAGTGAGACCGTCTCAAAAAAAAAACAAAAAACAAAACCATATGATCATTTCAATTCATGGTAAGAAAGCATTTGACAAAATTCAACATCCCTTTATGAAAAAACACTAAAAAAACTAAGTACATAAGGAACATACCTCAAAAATAATAAAAGCCATCTATGACAGACCCATAGCTAGTATCATACTAAAGAAAGAAAAACTAAAAGGCTTTCCTCTAAGATCAAGAACATGACAAGGATGCCCACTTCTATCACTTATTCAACATAGTAGTGGAAGTCCTAGCTAGAGTAATTAGACAAGAACAAGAAATAAGGGGCATCAAAATTGGAAAGAAAAAAATCAAATTATCCTTGTTTGCAGATGATCTGATCTTAACTTGGAAAAATCTGAAAACTCCACCAGAAAACTATTAGAAATGATAAAGAAATTCTGTGAAGTGGCAGGATATAAACCCAACATACACAAATCAGTAGCATTTCTATATACCAACAGCAAACAACCTGAAAGAGAAATAAAGAAACTTACAAATTAAAAGAAAATTTTTTAAGACATCAAGAAAGTAATCCCATGTACAATAGCTATAAATAAAATACTTAGGAATTAACCAAAGAAGTGAAAGATCTCTACAATGAAAACTATAAAAAGATGCTGAAAGAAACTGAAGACACAAAATCATAGAATGATATTCCAGGTTCAGGGATTGGAATAATCGATATTATTAAAATGTCCATACTACCCAAAGCAATCTACAGATTCATTACAATCTGTATAGAATACCAGTGACATTCTTCACAGAAATACAAAAAACAACCCTAAAAATTTATATGGAACCACAAAAGACCCAAAATAGCCAAAGCTATACTAAGCCAAAAGAACAAAAGTGTAAGAATCACATTACCTGACTTTATACTACAGAACTATAGTAACCAAAACACTATGGTACTGGCATAAAAACACATAGATCAACACAATAGAGAACCCTGAGATAAATGTATAAATCTGCAGTGAACTCATTTTTGACAAAGTTGCCATGAATATACCCTGGGGAAAAGACAGTCTCTTCAGCAAATGGTGCTGGGGAAAACTGGATATACATATTCAGGAGAAAAAAACTAGACCCCTATCTCTCGCCATATATAAAAATCAAGTCAAAATGGATTAAAGATTTAAATCTTAGACCTCAAACTGCAAATCTACTACAAGAAAACATTGGGGAAACTCTCCAGGACATTGGACTAGGCAAAGATTTTTTGAGTAATACCCAACAAGCAGAGGCAACAAAAGCAAAAACAGACAAATGTGATTTCATCAAGTTAAAAAGCTTCTGCGCAACAAAGGACACAGTCAACAAAGTGAAGAGACAACCCACAGGATGGGAGAAAATATATGAAAACTACCCATCTGACAAGCGATTAATAACCGGAATATATAAAGAACTCAAACAACTCTACAGGAAAAAAAATTTAATAATCTGATTTTAAAATGGACAAAATAATAATCATTTCTCAAAAGAAGACATACCAATGGCAAACAGGTATAGGAAAAGGTGCTCAACATCATTCATTATCAGAAAAATGCAAATCAAACTATGAGATATCTTCCCACCCCAGTTAACTTGGCTTTTATCCAAAGTCAGGGAGTAACAAATACTAGAGAGGATTTGGAGAAAAGGGAACTCTTGTACACTGCTGGTGGGAACACAAATTAGTAAAACCACTATGGAGAACAGTTCAGAGGTTCCTCAAAAAATTAAAAATAGAGCTACCATAGAATCCGGCAATCCCAGCCAGACGCAGTGGCTCACTTATATAATCCCAGCACTTTGGGAGGCCAAGGCAGGCAGATAACCTGAGGTCAAGAGTTTGAGACCAGCCTGGCCAACATGGTGAAACCCTGTCTCTACCAAAAAAATACAAAAATTAGCTGGGCGTGGTAGTGTATGCCTGTAGTCCCAGCTACTGGGGAGGCGGAGGTGGGAGAATCCCTTGAACTCAGGAGGTGGAAGTTGCAGTGAGCCAAGATCACACCACTGCACTCCAGCCTGGGTGACAGAGCAAGACCTTGTCTCCCCCCACCAAAAAAAAAAAAAAAAAAAAAAAAAAAAAAAAAAAAAAAAGGATCCAGCAATCCCACTCCTAGGTATATACCCAAAATAATGGAAATCGGTATATCGAAGACATATCTGCACTGTCTATTGTAGCACTGTTCACAATAGCCAAGACTTGGAGACAACCTAAGTGTCCATCAACAGATGAATGGATAATGAAAATGTGATACTTATATACAATGGAATAGTATTCAGCCATAAAAGAGAAAGATCCTGTCATTTACAACAACATGGATGGAACTGGAGGTCATTAAGTGAAATAAGCTAGGCAGAGAAAGACAAACTTTGCATGTTGTCATTTATTTGTGGGATCTAAAAATAAAAATAATTGAACTCATGGAGATACAGAGTAGAAGGATGGTTACCACAGGCTGGGAAGGGTAGTGGGTGGTTGGGGTGGAAGTACTGATGGTTAGCAGGTACAAATATATAGTTGGAATGAATAAAAACTAGTAATTGCTAGCACAACAGGGTGACTACCGTCAAAAATAATTAAAAATTGTATATTTTTAAATAACTAAGAGTATAAATGGATTTTTTGTATCACAAAGGATAAATGTTTGAGGTGATAGATATCCCATTTACCCTGATGTAATTATTATCTATTGCATGCATGTATCAAAATATCTCATGTAACCCATGAATACATAACACCTACCATGCACCCACAAAAATTAAAAGGAAAAAATCAGACATTGGAGTCAGGAGGAGGGAAGTCAGTACTGAGGAGTGTCACTGGACATGAAAGATGAAGAATGGATAGGAATTAATCAGGTGAAGAAGATAGTGCGGGTGGAGAGAGCATTGCAGGCAGACAGAAACATAGCCATCAGTCAGCAGTAAAAGCAAAAAGAGATTAGCAGAGACAATCTATGTTACTGGTTATAAAATAAATGCAAATTAAAACAAATACAAGATATCATTATTCATCTATTAAGAAAGGTTTTAGTTATTATGGCAATGGTGTAGTGATCATTCAAGGATTCCTACTAGGAGTACTAATCCAACTGTTCTGGAAAATAAGTTGACAATGTTTCAAAAGTCCTAAAAAAGATCATACCTGTTGGTAAATGATTTCTCCTCTTAGGAATCTATCTTAAGCAAAAAAGTTTAAAACGCAGATATAAACTTATGTACAAAAATTTAAAATGTTGAAAAATTAGGCCAGGTGTGGTAGCTCACGCCTGTAATCCCAGTGCTTTAAGAGGCCAAGGCGGGTGGATCACTTGAGGCCAGGAGTTCAAGACCCAGCCAACATGTCAAAACCCCATCTCTACAAAAAATACAAAAATTAGCCAGGCATGGTGGCACACACCTGTAATCCCAGCTACTCAGGAGGCTGAGGCACAAGAATCGCTTGAACCCAGGAGGCAGAGGCTGTAGTGAGCCAAGATTGCTCGACTGCACTTCAGCTTGGGTGACAGAGCAAGACCCTGTCTCTAAAAAAAAAAAAAGTTGAAAAATTAGAGAAAGCAATCAAATGATTAAATAAGTTATGTACAGCCATATGACAGAATATTATACAGCCAATATTATATATGCAAGATATAATAATACTTTCATAATCAGGACAAAAAAAGCCAATTAAAACATTCCATTGCCAACAACAAAAAACACTAGCAAACTAAATCCAGCACCATATAAAAAGAATTATACACCATGACAAGTGGGATTTATCCCAGGTATGCAAGGTTGGTTTAACATGTGAAAATCAAAGTAATACACTATGTTAATAGAATGGGGAAAAAAAAAACATGACATGATCATCTCAATAGCTGCAGAGAAATCAAGATAGTATGTCACACTCTTTCATGACAAACACATTTAACAAACTAGAAAGAGAAGATAATTTCCTCAACTTGATAAATAGTATCCACAAAACTAACATCATACAAAATGTTGAAAAACTGGATTCCTTCACACTATGATTAGAGACAAGACAAGGATGCCAGCTCTTGCCACTTTCACTCAACATTGTACTTGAGGTCTTAACCAGGGCAACTGGATAAGCAAACAAATAAAAGCCATTCAGATTAGAAAGGAAATTATCTGTACTTGCAGATGACATGATCTTGTATATAAAAAATCCTAAAGAATTCACTAAGAACAAATTTCACTCAGCCTCAGAAATAAAATATGTACAAATACATTTAACAAAAGTGTAAAATGTATACTCTGCAAACTATAAAATATTGGTGAAATAAATAAGAGACCTAAATAAACAGCAAAACACCCCATGTTCATGGATAAGACATAATATTAAGATGGCAGTACTTCCTAAAATTAACTATACATTCAACACAATCCCTATTAGCATCTAAGCTGACTTCTTTGTAGAAATTTATAGGAGATTCTAAGGTTGATGTTGAATTCCAAGAGATCTGGAATAGCCACACTTTCCAATTTCAACATCACTTTCAAAGCAATGGTAATGAAATAGTGCAGTATTAGCACAGCGACTGACATATAGATCAATGGAATAGAATTGAGGGTCAGGAAACAAACATGTGTCTCCATCATCAATTCCTTTTTAATAAGAGTGACAAAAACTATTCAATAAAGAAAGAATATTCTTTTCAACAAACAGTCCTGGGACAAATGGATAACCACAGCAAAAGACTGAAGTTGAGCCTTTACCTCATATCATGCATAAAAATTAACTCAAAATGGATCAAAGACCTAAGTGCAAGGACTAAAACTATAAAACTCTTTTAAGCAAACACAGGGGTTAAAGCTTCACGACTTTTTATTTCGAAATGGTTTCTCAGCTATGACAGTAAAAGCACAAGCAACAAAAGAAAAAATAAATTGGATGTCAACAAAATAAAATATTTTTGCGCATCAGAGGACACACTCAAGAAAGCAACAGATGGCCAGGTATGGTGGCTCACACCTTAATCCCAGCACTTTGGGAGGCCAACGAGGGAGGACTGCTTCAGCCCAGGAGTTCAAGACCAGTCTGGGCAAATAGAGGGAGACCTCATCTCTACGAAAAATTAAAAATAAATAAATAAAAGAAAGTGATACAGATCACCGGAACTATTTTTTTTTTAATGAAAGCAAAAGATAACCCACAGAATGAGAGAAAATATTTGCAAATCATATATATGATAGGGGCCTAGTATGTAGAATATATTTTTTAAAACACATTTCAACAACAAAAAGATAAGCAATCCAATTCAAAAATGGGCAAAGGACCTGAATAAACATTTTTTCCAAAGAAGATAAAGAAATAGTCAACAAGTACATTAAAAGATGTTCAACATTATTAGTCATTAGAGAAATGAAAATTAAAATCATAAGATACCACTTCACAACCATTAGGATGGTTATAACAAAAACAAAAATGAAAAATAACAAGTGTTGACAAGAATGTGGAGAAACTGAAATGCTTGTACATTGCTGGTAGGACTGAAATAGTACAGGCAGTGTAGAAAACAGTTTGGTATTGCCGTTTGTTTAAATAAATGAAAACCTGTGTAACAAATGTACACAACAGCACTATTCACAACAGCTGAAAGGTGAGAACAACCCTAATATCTATCAAGACCACATATTACATGTTTCCATTTATGTGACTGGTCCAGAATATATGAATCTATTAGAAACATAAAGGAGATTAGTGGTTGCTTATGTGAGGGAGTTTTGGGCTGGATAGGGGAGTAATAGTTAAAGGGTACAGAGTTTTATTTGGTAGTGATTAAAATGTTCAAAAACTGACTCTAGTGATGTTTGTACATCTCTGTGAATATATTAAAACCATTGAGTTCTACACTTTAAATGGGTGAATTGTACAGGATGTGAATTATCTCTCAATAAAACTGCTTTAGAAACCAAAAAGTTTTAATTTATCCAACAATTTCAACAACAAAGACTGCTGTATTAGGAATTTTTCTTAAGTTGATATTAGCTGCTCTTGTCACCAAAAAAAACTATGTGAGATGATAGATATGTTCATCTGCTTCACTACAGTAGCCATTTTACTATCTATATGTATCCCATAACACCATGTTGTAAACCTCAAATATAAACAATACAATTTTATTTTGAAAAAGACTATACATATATATGGATAAGGACAAATAGACATTGCAAAAAAATTTTGATATGATAGAGTTGTGAGACTGGGTAGTTTTGTTTCTTTTGTTGCTAAAATGTTTGTATGGTATGTTTAAATCAGTATTTTTAAAATTACGACACAGAAATATTTGTAGCTCACCTTTATAAATAAGGGGTTTATCTTTATCTTCTGTCTTCTCCCTACTAGCTAATTCAAGAAAATCTTCAATCAAGTCCAGAGATATGAGGGACTGGCTGAAAACAAGGCTAAAAAAACAGATTAGTGTTTATGGATTAGAAGATTCCTAGTAAAGATATCACTTCTTCCTAAATCGATCTACAAATTTAACACAATTGTAACAAAAATCCCAGCAGGATTTTTTTGTAGAAATTACAAGGTGATTGTAAAATGTATATGAGAATGCCACCTCAGAGGAGGGAAGACAATTCTGAAAAAGAAAAACAAAGTTGGAGGGCTGACTCTTCATGATTTCATTACTTACAAAGTTACAGTAACCAAGACAGTGTAGTAAAGGGACAGGCACAGATCAATAGAACAGAATAGAGTCCAGATAGAGAGCCACATAGGATAATTAATTGTAGGGCCCAGGCATTTCAATGGTAAAAGGATAGTCTTTTAACCAATGGTCTTGGTAGCCGGGCGCAGTGGCTCACGCCTGTAATCCCAGCATTTTGGGAGACCGAGACGGGTGGATCACGAGGTCAGGAGATCGAGACCATCCTGGCTAACACGGTGAAATTCCGTCTCTACTAAAAATACAAAAAAAATAAGCTGGGCACTGTGGTGGGCGCCCGTAGTCCCAGCTACTCGGGAGGCTGAGGTAGGAGAATGGCGTGAACCCAGGAGGCGGAGCTTGCAGTGAGTGGAGATCGCACCACTGCACTCCAGCTTGGGTGACAGAGCGAGACTCTGTCTCAAAAAAAAAAAAAAAAAAACCTACACAATGGTCTTAGCGAAACTGAACATCCACATGACAAAAACAATGGTCTTAGCAAAACTGAACATCCACATGAAAAAAAGTGAACTTCAACCTAAACTGCATACCTTATGCAAAAAATAACTTAAAATGGAGCATAAATCTAACTGTAAAAACTGTAAGAACAGAATGTTTAGAAGAACACAGAAGAAAATCTTCATAACATGGGTTAGGTAAAAAATTATTTACACATGACACAAAGTATCATTGTTTTAAAAGTTGATAAATTAGACTTCATCAAAATTTAAAACTTCTGCTCTATAAAAGACACTGTTTTAGAGAATGTAAAAAGTTTCCCTATTACAAGTATTTCAGTAATTTAAAATTACATGCATTCTATAACACTTTGTCATTACATTTCAAGTATGTCTGCAAATTCCTCATTCTCTGCCCTAGTAATTTTCTAACTCCTTTTTAGCCATGAAAACTATTTGGTCACATCAAGTTTTGTGTAGAGTTCAAATAAAATAAATTATAAAAGCAAGCTGTTTTAGGCATTACGGGAGAAGGAGGAAAAATGTTACTGTTCCCTTACCCTCTCCTTTCGGTCACCAATTTGCAGGGGCTCTGAGAAATAGTTCTAAAATGACTATTCTGGTCTAACCCACTGGACAGAATTTATAACATACTTACACACTAGAAAAGAAATAAAATCTAGAAAGAGAATATAAGAGGTCTTCTATTGCCCTTTATATATGCAAACAAAGTAGATCAGTATATAAGAAACAATATACCTGTGGCAAGTATGCTTTAAGTTTTATTTTTATTCTAAAAGCTATACTATAGGAGAAGAAGGTACTTATGACTCCTGAAGATCCTTCAACATTCCCTGCTACATATCTTCAGATTTAGTAGAACTGAAAACAATTGAAGCTATGAAACGGCTGTTGGAGTTAACCACTTAAGTGTTTTTTATTGTATGACTTCCTGAGCTCCACACTGTTGGAGTCTACTATCTCCCAGTTAACTACTTCTAGAATGTTGGTAAGAAAATGAATTGACTCCTGGTGCTCAGCTCAAATGACCAAGGCCTATGCTTTGACCCCTCAGTAGTTTATCTTTCCCAAAATCAAAAACATAATTGAATCAATTCTTTCTGTGCTACAAATTAAGTTCTTGAAAGTTCCCGTAAGTGAAAAAATTAAAGTCTTAGAAATACTAATTATTAAATTGGAATTAATCTGCAATCTGGGTTACTATACTGGAAAGAGGTTGATTTTAGTCAGTTAGCAATTAAGGCTGGTTCTGGGAACCACTGAACTCAGAGAAGTCTTACAGTAGAAAAGGAAAAAAGTTGTTAGGATTAAATGTCTATACTAATGGTTCTCTCTATTAACCTTTTCCAGTTGCAGACAACATGAAGAACTCTTTTGTTTCAGACCATATTTTGAGATTTTTTTAAACATAAAAGATTATTTTATTTTAGCCTTATTTAAAATTTTTATTAAAAGCATCTCAAGCTAGGCGCGGTGGCTCACACCTGTAATCCCAGCATTTTGGGAGGCTGAGGCGGGTGGATCACCTGAGGTCAGGAGTTCAAGACCAGCTAGGCCAACGTGGTGAAACCCCGTCTCTATTAAAAAAACAAAATTAGCTGGGCGTGGTGGTGTGTGCCTGTAATCCCAGCTACTCAGGAGGCAAGGCTGGAGAATCACTTGAACCCAGGAAGTGGAGGTGATTTTAGTGAGCTGAGATTGCGCCACTGCACTCCAGCCTGGGTGACAAGAGCAAAACTCCGTCTCAAAAAAAAAAAAAAAAAAGCATCTCAGATACTTTTAAAAATCGTTTATAATCAGATGTTGGGACCTAGCAGCCTAGACAGTAAGTCTTGTTCAAAACTTTAAAAATATGTTTTTGGAGGCCGGGCGTGGTGTCTCACGCCTGTAATCCCAGCACTTTGGGAGGCTGAGGCAGGCAGATTACCTGAGGTCAGGAGTTCGAGACCAGCCTGACCAACATGGAGAAACCCCATCTCTACTAAAAATACAAAATTAGCTGGGCGTGGTGGTGCGTGCCTGGAATCCCAGCTACTCAGGAGGCTCAGGCAGGAGAATCACTTGAACCTGGGAGGCGGAGGTTGCGATGAGCCGAGATCGCACCATTGCACTCCCGCCTGGGCAACAACAGCAAAACTCCGTCTCAAAAAAAAAAAAATAATGTTTTTGGAAAAGTAATTTGAAGGGGGGTGAAGATGCAAAGAAAGGAATGGTGGCAAAAATGTTAGAAGTGGAACAAAAAACAAAGAATAAATGATAAAGAAAGAATAATCAGGCCAGGTGTGGTGGCTCACACCTGTAATCCCAGCACTTTGGGAGGCTGAGGCGCACAAATTGCTTGAGCTCAAGAGTTCGAGATCAGCCTGGGCAACACGGTGAAACCCTATCTCTGCTAAAAATAAAAACACTAGCTGGGCATGGTGGTGTGCGCCTGTAGTCCCAGCTACTGGAGAGGCTGAGGTGGGAGGATCACCTGAGCCTGGGAGGTCAAGACTGCAGTAAGCTGTGATTGTGCCACTGCACTCCAGCCTGGGCAACAGAGCAAGACCCTGTCTCATAATGAAAAAAAAAAAAAAAAGAAGAAGAAGAAGAAAGAATAATCAAGCAGGTAAAATAAAATAAAGCCTGAGAGATGTCCACTAGATTTGAGGATTAGAAGGTCACTAGTGACTTTACAGGGGGAAATCTCAGTAAAGCAACACGGTAGAAGTCACACTACATAAACCGAAAAATGATTTTGAAGATGGAGAAACACAAATTTCAACTAAGAGCTCTACCCAAGGAAATAAGTTCAAGTTGCAATAGGTAGAAGCAGAAATTTACACTGAAGAAATAACCTGAATATGCAATCAGAACTAGTGGCTTACAAAAAAGATAGTTGCTTGTATTGGCCTAGCACTACAATGACCAAATAAATCACATCTTTAGGAAGGAAGGAAAAGCAACAGATTTGTTCAAATACATTGTTTAAGCAATAAAAACATAATCAAAAGGTTAATTTATATAATAAATATGGTAAAGCACTTACACTTTATCCCCAATTTCCTCTGCCATTCGAAGAATTTCAAAGAGAAGTACCATTTTCCCAGAATGCTCTAAAACCTCAGCATCAGCATCTGTAACAAAATCTTTGTACCAGTCTGGAGCTGGGCTGCTTGGATTAGAAGAAGAAGTAGCTTTACCTAAATAAGACAAATGGAACATAAGTAGGTAAATTAGAAAAGAAATGGAAAGAGAGCAAGAGAGACAGAAAAAGACCTACCCATGGGGAGAGTAAGAAAGAAACTGATGGGGACTTGGGAGAGGGGAGGGAAAAAAGAGAAAGGCAGGCACACGCACATACAGCACAGAAGGACAGAGACTATCCCAGAAGAGTGAGCTCTAGATAGAAAAAGAGAAAGGAAGGAGATGCCAAATAAGAGAACAAGCAAGAGATTGACTCTGAGAGAGTGCAAGTGTAAGAGACAAACCCTCGGGGTAGGAGTGGAGCTCAGAAAGACAGAGACCCAAAGAGAAGAGAAACCATCCCCTTCCCACCAGGCCCTAAGAGAGTAAAATGCCCCCAAACATACTCCATGAGACAGGAATCAACAGAGATGGAAAGGCTCAGTTACCACGAGAGAAAAGACCTTGGGGGTAGAAAACATTTCACTGTGCTACTAGGATCTGGAAACCGCCAACAAGAATTGACCCCAGAATCAGCATATCATATTAAATGATTTCGTTCTTATATATTTTCCCCACAAACTTTGACTATGAAAGGTGGAAGGAGAAAGTAGCATAAAATAATTTATTAAAAGATTTAAACATAGTTTGATTCAAAATAAGAAATATGCAGGTTTAGCATGTTTATACACTTTCTCAATTGCTTTTTAATGCAAAGTATTTTAAAATATATTTTTGTTACAAAAATTTAAATGCTCAGAAAAGTATATAAGATATAAGAAACAAATGTGCTTCCACATTCCATCTTCATCAAATTTTAACACTGTTAAAACTTCGGATGAAGCTGAAGCCTAATATATGATCCTACATGATCCCATTCTCTTTCCTTCCTTCCTTTCCAATAGGTAACTAAACCCCTAAATTATATATTTACCATTTTTTGCAGTGTTTTATGTTTTTTACTGCATGTGTATCACTAAACTGTACAAATGGCTATACTGTTTGTAAAATCCTACAAATTACTTTTTCACTCAAAGCGAGATTTACTCATGCTTGACATGGAGCTCCCGTTCAATCATTCTAACTACCATGTAGTATTCCACTGCATGAATACACTATCATTTATTAGTTCTCCTCATAGACATCTAGATTGTTTCTTGTTTTTGGCTAATATGAAATAACTGCAACGAATGCTCATTGCTGAGTATATTTTTCTTAAATATTGTGTATTTTAAGTTTTAAATTTTCTGGCATAAAGTTATGATTAGGAATTTTAAAAATATCATTTTAGACATACTTATAGTCTTTATCAAATACTTCTATTATCAGAAGTTCTTGAGAATCTAATCATGCCATTTATTTTGTATGCTAACTTTCCTCAGGTTGACTACTAATACTTTCTGTTCCTAGCTTTTCCTAAGGTTATTTTCTCAGGTGTAGCTACAATCTGTGAAATTTCTGGGTAGCCTTGGTTAAGGTCATATATCTCCAGAGTGATTCTACATTTGCTTCTACCAGGTCTCCAGGGAATCACCAACTCAGAATTACTTGTGAAGTTAATATTTCAGTTTCGGATCTTTTAGACTATATGAGTAATATAAATTCAAACCATAAAGTATGTGAGGTGAAGGCCATGACCGTAAATTCAATGTAACTATTTTTCCCAACCAAGAGCCCTGGCTGAAATAGATAAGCTTCCTTGTCAACTCCCTGGATTGTCGATGGGATTGTAAACTTTAAAGGGATTCAGCTTTGAGAAGGGGTCACAGAACTCTCCAACTTATAGAGGGCTCGAAGTCTCAAATCCTGTCCCTGGATAAATGAAAATCAAAGCTGCTAGTCTCAAGACTAGCATCTCCCTAGGATTTCCATAGCATACCTTCTTCAATTTACCATTTAGGCTTATCAGTTCCCTCCTTATGTCTGGGCATATAGTAAGCACTTTATAAATATCTGTTGAGTGAATAAATATGGTATATTAGTACTAATATTACGGCTCTACATCATATACAAGGATTCTGTCACAAAACTTTATATCCATACAATTACATACGTTTTAAAATGCAAATGCTTACCAATGAAGCTTACTCTAAAAATACTTAAGTAATAATAAATCTAACACTTTGAAGTAATTTACATAGTCATTTCGTGATCATGAACTCTCCTTCTAATAAAAAACATTTAAAACACAGAAATGGGGATGATGTAAGCTAAACTTAAATGACTCATTCAAGATGCTGCTTCTCAGAAAAACGAGACAGCTACTACAAAAGGATTAAAGCAAACAGTAACTCTTTGACGTGAAAATAAAATATGTGGCAAAAATCATATTGTAGCTCAATTATAGGTAATTAATTATTTAATATCCATTTCAAATTCCAGGTACAACATTGTTAACCCTTTAATACTTCCTTCAGATTATGAGACCGATGTGCTGCCTACTGCGCTAAGGAGGCAGACTAGCCCCTTAATACTTCCTATTCAGATTTTCTTATATTTACTGTAAGAAAGTCATTTTTTTTAAAGTTATACAATACCAGCTACGTATGTCCATACATTATGATATACTCCATTTTATATGGAGTTAATTTAGATGCAAAGAAAAAAATAAATTTTTATTATCTATTAGTTCTGGAGAATGCTTCTAATATACTATACACGTATATAAGCTACAAAAATATATAAAATATATCCATATACAAATGACTTATATTTGACTGCACACAACTAAAATGAAACAAAAATCCTAGACAAGTGGTCAAAATTTGTCTTTTGGAACTGATGGCCTTCCCTGTGTGTTTTTGGGCTCACAACATGTAGCCTCCTACATTCTGCCCCCAGTGCTTTCCAACCCATTCACATTATGGCATATGTAAAAAACGTTAATGCTTATATAGCATACCAGGAAAAAGAGAAGAGACTACTCATTTACGGAGGCAAACCAGCTGCCTCAGATTCTAATTGTATTCCCAAGTGACAAAGGATCAATATCTCAGTACACTTTAAAAAAAAAATCTCAGTATACTCTTACGTAACCCATTTATAGCACAGGATGATGCACACTGACTGGTCTACTCTTCTGCTCCTGTTAGCCATAAGTTATGAGAAAAAATTCAACAAGAGTATTTTAAGAAAATAATTTCCAGGAACATGTAAACTTTATATATTTTTAATTATGAGATGAGAGACTGAGGAATTTATGTGGAAAAGGCAGATTGGGGCAGCAGCAGCAGGGAAGGAGATACAGGAACTTCTCATTGCCTTAAATTACACTATAATAATTTATTATTCTGATAAAAATATTCTTTATATCTATCCAGAAGATGAACATTGATAGTAAACTGTTTTATGGGGTAACAGAAGAGAAGAATGAGAAGAGAAATTTTGTAGTTTAATTTTTACTATTCCCCTGATTTCTTAAGAGAAGTCAGAGTCTACTGTTAGACTGCCATCTGTCTATTCCATGGAGGTACTGAAGAGAGAAATGTTTATAAAGAAATCACCGAGTCAGAAAGAATTTATGACTAATTCCTCAAAAACAATTGCAACAGAAACAAAAATTGACAACTGGGACCTAATTAAACTAAAGAGCTTCTGCACAGCAAAAACAAAAAACAAACAAACAAACAAAAAAACAAAAACACAAAATAACAAAAAAAAAACTATCAACAGAGTAAACAGACAACTTACAGAATGAGAGAAAATACTCACAAACTATGTATCCAACAATGAATATCCAGAATCTATAAGGAACTTAATTCAACAGCAAAAAAACAAGTAACTCCATTAAAAAGTGGGCAAAAGACAAGAACAGATACTTCTCAAAAGAGAACATACAAGCAGCCAACAAACATGAAAAATGCTCATCATCATTAACCACAGGAGAAATGCAAATCCAAACCACAATGAGACACAATCTCACACCAGTCAGAATGGCTATTATTAAAAAGTCAAAAAACAGCAGATGCTGGAGAAGGGGCAAAGAAAAGGGAACATTTATGTTGGTGGGATTGTAAATTAGTTCACCGCCTATGGAAGGCAGTTTAGAGATTTCTCAAAGAACTTAAAGCAGAACTGCAATTTGACCCAGCAATCTCATTACAAGTATAAAACAAAAGGAAAATAAATCTGCCAGAAAGACACATGCACTCATATATTTATTACAGCACTATTCACAACAGCAAAAACATGGAATCAACCCAGGTGCCCATCAACAGTGGATTGGATAGAGAAAATGTGGTACATATAAACCATAGAATATACACAGCCACAATAAAGAACAAAATCATGTCCTTTGCAGCAACAGGGATACAGCTGGAGGCCATTATATACTAAGTGAATTAACACAGAAACAGAAAACCAAATACGGCGTGTTCTTACATATAAGTAAGAGCTAAACACTGGGTACACATGGATATAAAGAGGAGAGCGACAGACACGGAGGACTACTAGAGTGGGGAGAGAGAAAGGGGGCAAAGACTGAAAAACTAACTACTGAGTACTATGTTCAGTACCTGGGGATGGGATCAATCATACCCCAAAGCTGAGCATCATGCAATATACCCATGTTAATCAACTAGCATATGTACCCCCGAATATAAAAGTTGAAATTATAAAAATAAAATTAAAATAATTAATCACCAAGTTATTTCAGCTGTAGGCCTGAGACCAGCCAAGTTTATCTGATCACAGGATCACTAACCTAGGTGGCCCCCACAACTCTCTTCTCCTTATAGACAGTTAACTGCTTTGCTCCACAACTCCCAAATGCCAAATATTTAGAGCCACTACCTTGTTCTCTCTTCATAATCTGCTATTTCAAATAGGCAGACATTTGGTCCCAGTTTTTAAGCTCCTAGGCATACAGGCTGCACTAGTAGGATACAGTGTCTCAACACTAATCCTTCAACTTACATATAGGTAAAGACAACTTAAACCACTGCAGAGTTCAATCTAAGACTTCACTTTCATGCACAAGAGAGACAGAAAGAAAACAAAAGAGGTGATAGAAACTGTACATAATACACAGGAAACCTAAAGTAGATAATTGCAGATTATGAAGAATCACAAAGGAAAAACACTAAATGATTAAAATTAGTTTTACTGTATATTACTGACTAAAAATTAACTACAATCACACTTGATTATCTGAAATGTTTCCATTTATTCCCATACAGTTAAGTGAAAATATCATGGTGGCTTTGAGATTAGACATTTTTAGGTCTGAATACCAGTTCTCCTACTCATTTTTAAAACTATCAACTACATTGCAAGCCTGCTCAAGAATTCAGTTAGCTAACACATGTAGTGAAAATAATAGAGTTTAGGTATATACAAGTAAATAAACATTAGTTTTTCTTTTTACCTTTCCCCCAAATACCAGAGAGCACAGAGTAGCTTGCTTATAATTAAAGATTCATCAGATATTTACTGTAATTATGAGTACTTGATTAGACTCATCAATTGAGGAAAGATTCCTTTGAGTCAATTAGTCAGGTAAGTGACTGAAAAAAGGACTAACGACATGACATTTTCCAAATTACTGTTCCATGATAAAGGCAACATTCATTAGACTCACTTTCTTCCAGTTTTAAAGAAACAGAAGGATTGTTTCCTGTTTCATCCACATTTCCTTCACCACCTCCCCGAGATCTTGAATTCCAGACCTTAATCACTTCAACATCATTGTCACTGCCACTTCCACTTGAGCTACTATCTTTTTTCCCCTTTTTCCCTTTTTTCTTCTTTCTAAAAACAAACAAACAAACAAACAAAAAAACACATTCAGATTGTTAGAAAAGCATAGGAAAGATGTAAACGTCAATTATAAGAGGTCAATCAGCAAGTAGGGGTTTTAACTTTGTCAATACAGGATGGCACGAAAAAGTATTCGATTTACTTTGTATAATCATCGGAGCTTAAACTCATGGAGGTTTCATCAGAATCTGAGGCTATAAATTCATCCATACTGTCTTCATCAAAATAACCCTAGAGAAAAAAAAATGACCACTATTTTAATAGAATATCTCAACTTACACTGGAAATTATATTGATGTTCATTTAAGAATAAGTTAATTGGCACGAGCTGAGGAAGGACTGAGGAACTATTACAGATTTTAGTAGACAAAGAAGACAGGACAGATATGCTTACTAAATGCAATGGGAGGTCCTAGATTGGATCATGGAAAACAAAAAAGACATAAGTAAAAACATTGAAGAAATCCAAATAAAGTCTGCCATTTAGTTAATAGTATTGTACCAAAGTTAATTTCTTAGTTTTGATAACTTTACTATACTAATGCAACATGCTGATATTAGAAGAAACTGGGTCAAAGGTATAGGGGAATTCTCAGAACTATTTTTGCAACTTTTCTATAAGTATAAAATTATTTCAAAATAAAAAGTTTTTTAAAATGGGCTCAATAAAATAACATTTAACACTCCTATAATCATAATACATGCAAGACATATAGAAATTAGAAATAAGACATAGAATAGAACAAAGCAATAGAAAATTTGAATATACAGTCTGTAGGTCAATTTTTTGTCTAAGTTTATTCTGCTTCCAATAGATGCTTTTAAACTAAGTTACCTGACTTACCTTATTTTCTTTGCTAATGTAGTCTAGCTGCAAACACCAAGGATGAGTCCATATTCTACTTAACATCTGAAAATCTTGGAAAAGCTTTGCACCTGCCTTTCCTCTTCCACCTTCACTATTATTGCCCACACCTGATCAAAAGAAATATGGTTAAAGACACAAAAATTGTCTATATCAACCAAGTTTCTAGATTAGGAGTTTTAATCTTACTTGTGACATAAACACTTTTGGCAGTGTAGAGAAGCTTATAAATTCTCTTGGAATATCGTTTTGAAACACATAAAACAAATAGGATTACAAAAGAAACCCATCATATAGAAATTATCAAAATATTAAAGAATTTGTACTACAGAAATATGTGCTTTTTAAAATTAATGCATTAAGTAACAAAATATGCACAGGTTTAATAAATACCTAAAATTCTGAAGTATTGATAAACATAAATGATTTTGAGGTATCAGGAACAACATGTAAAAATATTTCTGATTTCTATTGGTAACAAAGTCATGGTTATCACTAACACTACTATAGATTGTTGCCTCTATTCATCACTGGGAAAAATGCTGCTGCTTTAGCTAGAGGTTAAGGGAAATCAATATATAATTTTTTTCTTATCCAGGTACATATAATCCCCTAAATTCTATCCATGGACCCTAGATTACAAACTCCTGTTATAAATAAACTTTGCTCCATGCAGATAGTCCTTTACTGACTCTCGCCAACTATGCTCACTCAAAAAAATTACTTCTAGGCAAGTGACAGTAGCTCACACCTGTAATCACAGCACTTTGGGAGGCCGAGGCAGGAGGACCGCTTGAGGCCAGGAGTTCAAGACAGGCCTGGACAACACAGCGAGACTCTGTCTCCACCAAGAAAAACAAAAACATTAGCCAGGTATGATGGCACACACCTATAGCCCTAGATACCCTAGATACTTGGGAGGCTGAAGTGGGAGAATCACTTGAGCCCAGGAGTTTGAGGTTACAATGAACTATGATTGCACCACAGCACTCCCGCCTGGATGAAAGAGCAAAACCTTGTCTCTTAAAAAAAAAAAAAAAAGACCTTCCAAAAATTATGTTTTTGATGTATAAAATGTAAATATTAGCTCTGCTCTATCCAGAATAATTTCAACAGAATTATCATTTTCCTATAAAACATAAAGAAAATGAATGCACGTTTCATTAATATAATAAAATTATCAAGAAGGTAATATGCAAAAGAACAAAACTGATTAAAAGGAAAAAACAGCATTTAAGCAATAACATATTTTCCTATCCACGGTTTTAAACTATGTAAGTTGTTTAAATAATTAGCAAATTTTGCCTCCACGAGTGAGAGAAAATTTAGTAGTGATATGAAACATTAATAATGCATAAAAATCTGCTGAGTATTATTTTGCCTGATAGAGGTTATTTCCATTGTGTAACAGAAATCACTGCTATGAAAATGAGGTATATAATTTCTCGGCATACAGCTGTTCACAATATTCACTTATAATTCTTTTTATTTCTGTAAGGTTAGTAGTGATACTCTTTCATTCCTTACTTTAGGTCATTTTTCTTTCTGTTCTTGTTTTTGTTTTTTTGATACAGGGTCTTACACTGTCACCCAGGCTGGAGTGCAGTGATGCAATCATAGCTTACTGCAACCTCGAACTCCTGCGGGCTCAAGCCATCTGCCTGCCTCAGCCTCCCAAAAGCTGGTACTACAGGCACATGCCACCAGGTTTGGCTAATTCTTTTTTTTATTTTTTGTAGAGACAGGGTCTCGCTTTGTTGACCAGGCTGTTCTTAAACTCCTAGCTTTAAAGGATTGTTCTGCCTTGGCCTCCCGAAAGGCTGGGATTAATAGGCATGACCCACTGTAGTCGGCACTTATTTTAGCTGTGCCTTTTTTTTTCATTACTTTGTAAGTGAAGGAAGGTTTGTCGATTATGTTAATCTTTTCAAAGAACCTACCTTTGGTTTCAATGATTTTCCCTACTGTTTTTCTGTTCCTCACATTTCTTTATTATTTCCTTCCTTCTGCTTGTTTTGGGTTTAATTTGCAAAGTAGAAGGTTGAATTATAAATTTGAGATCTTTCTTCTTTTTTAATACAGGTATTTACCACCATACATTTCTCTCTAAGTATTACTTAAGTTATATCCCATATTCTAGTACCCTGTGTTTTTGTTTTCATTAACCTCTAAGCATTTTTTAATTTCCCTTGTGATTTCTTCTTTGGTCCATTGGTTATTTAGATATATGTTGTTTAATTTACATGTATTTGTAAATTTTTAAACTTTCCTTCAGTTATTGGTTTCTAATTTCATTTGAATGTGGTTAAAGAAAATACTTTAGTAAGAAGAGGAATGTTTTAATGATAAATGCCTATGTCAAAAAAAGATCTCAAATAAGGAACCTATCTTTATACCTCTAGGAGCTAGAAAAAGAATAAGCTAAACCCAAAGCTTGCAGAAGGAAGGAAATAAGGATCAAAGCATTAGTAAATCAAATAATAGATAAGATATAGGGGGAAAAGTTGTTTTTTTGAAAAAAATAAGCCAAGCCAACAAACCCTTAGCCTATTAAGAAAAAAGAGAGAGGACTCAAATAAATAAAATAGACATGAAGACATTACAACCAATGCCTCAGAAATAAAGAAGGATCATAAAGAACTAGTATGAAAAATTATATACCAAGAAATTGAATAATCTACAGGAAATAAATTCCTACAAACATACAATATATCAACACTGAATAAAAAAGAAATAGCCTCAACAGACCAATTACAAATAAAGAGACCAAGGCTACTTGGGCTCTTATTTGGTTCCATATGACTTTTAGGATTGTTTTTTCTAATTCTATAAAAAATGACATTGGTATTTTGATAGAGTTAGGTTTGAATCTGTAGATTGCTTTGGGTAGTATGGTCATTTTAATAATATAATTCTTTTTTTTTTTCCTAGATGGAGTTTCGCTCTTGTTGCCTAGGCTGGAGTACAGTGGCGCAATCTCGGCTCACTGCAATCTCCGCCTCCCGGGTTCAAGCCATTCTCCTGCCTCAGCCTCCCGAGTAGCTGAGACTACAGGTGCCTGCCACCATGCTCGGCTAATTTTTTTTTTTTTTTGTATTTTTAGTAGGGACAGGGTTTTGCCATGTTGGCCAGGTTGGTCTTGAACTCCTGGCCTCAAGTGATCCGCCTGCCTCGGCCTCCCAAAGTACTAGGATTACAGATGTGAGCTACCGTGCCTGGCCAATAATATTAATTCTTGAACAAAGCTGAAGGTATCACATTACTTGACTTCATATTACCCTACAAGGCTACAGTAACCAAAACAGCATGGTACTGGTATAAAAATAGACACAAAGATCAATGGAACAGAATACAGAACACAGAAATAGAGACACATACTGACAGTCAACTGACCTTTGACAAAGTCAATAAAAACATATACTGGGGAAAGGACACTCTTTTCAATAAATGGTTCTAAGAAAACTGGATTCCCATATGCAGAAGAATGAAACTGGACCATTATCTCTAACCATATGCAAAAATCAACTCAAGATAGATTAAAGACTTAAATGTAAGAGCTGAAACAATAAAAATACTAGAAGTAAACCTAGAGAAGTAACCTAGAGAAAGTAAACCTGGAGAAAATCATTCTGGACATTGGCCTAGGCAAATAATTCATCACTACGACCTCAAAAGCAAAGCAACTAAAACAAAAACAGACAAATGGGACTTAAATAAAAAGCAGCAAAAGAAATAATTAACTGAGTGAACAAACAATCTGCAGAATGGGAGAAAATATTTCCAAACTAGACATCCAACAGGGGACTGATATCTAGAATTTACAAGGAACTCAAACAACAACACAAAACAAAACAAATAATTCCATTAAAAAGTGGGCAAAAGACATAAATAGACATTTTTCAAAAGAAGATATAACAAATGGCCAACAAGCATATGAAAAAATTCTCAACATCACTAAACGTCAGAAAAATGCAAATCAAAACCACAATGACATATCTTCCCCAGTTAGAATGGCTATTATTAAAAAGTCAAAAAATAAATGTTGGCAAAGATGCGGAGGAAAGAGAATATGTTTACACTATTGGTGGGAATGTAAATTAGCACAAACTCCATGAAAAACAGTACAGAGATTACTCAAAGAACTAAAAATAGAACTAACATTTGATCCAGCAATCCCACTACTAGGTATCTACCAAAAGAGAAAGAAATCATTATATCAAAAACATAAAAAAAAAGATACTTGCACTTACATGTTTATTGTAGCACTATTCACAATAGCAAAGCTATGAAATCAACCTAAGTGTCTATCAAAAGATGAACAAAGAACACGTGGTATATATACACAGTGGAATACTATTTGGCCACAAAAAAGAACAAAAGCATGTCTTCTGCAGTAACATGGATGGAACTGGAGGCCATTATCTTAAGTGAAACAATTGAGACACAGAAAGATAAATAGTGTCATGTTCTCCCTTATAAGTGGGGCTAAATAATGTGAACACATGGATGTAGAGTGTGGAATGACAGACAATGGAGACTTGGAAGGGTCGGGGGAAACGAGAAGAGTGAATGAGAAACTACTTAATGGGTAGAATGTACATTATTCTGTGTATACACTAAAAGCCCTGACTTCACCACTATAATATATCCATGTAACAAAATTACACATGTACCCCATAAATTTATACGAATAAAATTAAGATGGCTCACGTCTGTAATCCCAGAACTTTGGGAGGCCAAGGCAGGTGGATCACCTGAGGTCAGGAGTTCGAGAACAGCCTGGCCAACATGGCGAAACCCTGTCTCTACTAAAAATACAAAAAATTAGCCAAGCATGGTGGTGGGCGCCTGTAATCCCAGCTACTTGGGAGGCTGAGGCAGGAGAACTGCTTGAACCTGGGAGGCAGAGGTTGCAGTGAGCTGAGATCGCACCACTGCACTCCAGCCTGGGTGATGGAGCAATACTCTGTCTCAAATAAAACAAAACAAAATAATTAAATTAAAAATAGAATTAAGAAAAAGAAATAAGTAGTAATAAAAAAAAACCTCCCAACAAAAATCACCCAGAACCAGATAGCTTCAAAACTGAATTCTACCAAACATTCAAAAAACCATGAATACCAATTCTTAAACTCTTCCAAAAAACAGAATTACAGGAAATACTTCCAAACTCTTTTTGTGAGGTAAGCATCACCCTGATACCAAAGGCAGACAAAGATGCTGAAAGAAAAGAAAACCATAGGCCAATATCACTGATGAACATAGATATTAAAACCCTCAATAAAATACTAACCTAATTCAACAACACATCAAAAAGTTTAAAAGTAGAAAAGTAGAAAAGATCAATGAAACAAACACTTGGTTTTTTGAAAAGATAAACTCAACAAACTTTTAGTCAGACTACTTATGAAAAAAAAGAGAGAATACCCAAATAAATGAAATCAGAAATGGAAAAGGAGACATTAAAACTGATACCACAGAAATTTAAATGACCATTAGAGGCTACTATGACCAACTATATGCCAATAAATTGGAAAACCTAGAAGAAATGGATAAATTCCTAGACACATGCAATCTACTAAGATTGAACCAGGAAGAAATCCAAAACCTGAACAGACCAATAACAAGTAATGAGATCAAAGTAATAATAAAAAGTCTCCAAAGCAAAGAAAACCTAGAGACCCCAATTTACCTAAAGAATTTTCATTTTAGGTTCATGGGTACATGTATGGGTAAATTTACCCCAATTTATGTGCACATGTACCCCTGAACCTAAAATGAAAATGTAAAATAAAATAAAATAAACATATTATGGCATGTAAAGCCCCAACCCCATCCCCCAAAGAAAAATTAAAAAATGAAAAGCCAGGTACCTAATACCTTCACTGCTGAATTTTACCAAACATTCCAAGAAGTACTAATTCCAATCCTCCTCAAACTATTCTGCAAAATAGAGAAGGAATACTTCCAAATTCTTTCTGAGACCAGTATTACAATGATACCAAAACCAGACAAGGACACATCAAAAAAAGAAAACTACAGGCCAATATTCCTGATGATCATTCATACAAAAAACCTCAACAAAATACTAGCAAAACAAATTGAACAACACATTAAAAAGGTCATTCATCATGACCAAGTGGGATTTATCCTAGGGATGCAACGATGGCTCAGTTTATGGAAATCAGCTGAGTGTGATGGCTCACACCTGTAATCCCAGCACTTCGGGAGGCCGAAGAAGGAGGATCCCTTGAGCCCAGGAGTTCAAGACAAGCCTGGGCAACATAGAGACCTCATCTCTACAAAAAAAAAAAAAAAAACCCACACACACACAAAAATACATACATACACACATATAAATATACACACACACATATATGGAAATCAATCAATGTGATACATCGTTATGAACAAAATAAAGGATAAAAACCATATAATCATTTCAATTCATGCTGGAAGCACATGTGATAATATTCAACATCCCTTCATAATAAAAAGCCCTAAAAAACTGGGTATCAGAGGAACATACTTCAACATATTAAAGCTATATACGACATACCGACAGCTAGTATCATACTGAATGGGAAAAAACTGAAAGTCTTTGCTCTAAGATCTTGAACACAACAAGGATGCCCACTTTCATTACTGTTATTCAACATCATACTGGAAGTCCTAGTAAGAGTAATCAAAGAAGATAAAGAAATAAAGCGCATACAAATGGGAAAGGAAGAAGTCAAATTATCTTTGTTTGCAGATGACATGACCTTATATTTGGGAAAGAAAAAAAACTAAAGACTCCACCAAAAAACTATTCGAACTGATCAGCAATTTCAGTAAAGTGGCAAGTAACAAAATCAATATACAAAAATCATTGGCATTTCTATATGCCAACAGTGAACAATTTGAAGAAATCAAGAAAGTAATCTTATTTACAATAGCTACAAATAAAACAAAATATTCAGGAATTTAAGAAGCGAGGCAGGGCACGGTGGCTCATGCCTGTAATCCCAGCACTTTGGGAGATCAATGCGGGTGGATCACTTGAGGCCAGGAATTCAAGAGCAGGCTGGCCAACATGACAAAACCCTGCCTCTACTAAAAATACAAAAATTAGCGGAGCATGGTGGTGCACACGTGTAATCCCAGCTATTTGGGAGGCTGAGGCATGAGAATCACTGAAACCAGGAGGTGGAGGTTGCAGAGAGCCAAGATCGCACCACTGCACCCCAGCCTGGGTGACAGAGACTCTGTCTCAAAAAAAAAAAAAAAAAAAAAAGAAGTAAAAGAACTCTACAATGAAAAATATAAAACATTGATGCAAGAAATGGAAGAGGACACCAAAAAATGTAAAGACATTCCATGTTCATGGATCAAAAGAATCAATATTGTTAAAATGTCCACACCACCTAAAGCAATCTTCATATTGAAAGCAATCCCTATGAAATAAATACCAATGATATTCTTCACAGAAATTGAAAAAACTATCCTGAAATTTATAAGGAACCACGAAAGACCCAGAATAGTGAAAGCTATCCTGAGCTAAATGAACAAAACTGGAGGAATCACATTACATAACTTCAAAGTATACTATAGAACTACTGTAATCAAAACAGCATCGTACTAGCATAAAAAAGACACATAGGCCGGCCGGGCACAGTGGCTCACACCTGTAATCCCAGCACTTTGGGAGGCCGAGGCAGGCGGATCATGAGGTCAGGAGATCGAGACCACAGTGAAACCCCGCCTCTACTAAAAATACGAAAAATTAGTCCAGCACAGTGGTGGGTGCCTGTAGTCCCAGCTACTTGGGAGGCTGAGGCAGAAGAATGGCGTGAACCCAGGAGGCAGAGCTTGCAGTGAGCCGAGATTGCACCACTGCACTCCAGCCTGGACAACAGAGCGAGACCCCGTCTCAAAAAAAAAAAAAAAAAAGACACATAGGCCAATGAAACAGAATAATTAACCCAGAAACAAGTTCACACACCTACAGTGAACGCATACTCTACACAGGTGCCATGAACATGCACTGGGGAAAGGATAGTCTCTTCAGTAAGTGGTGCTGGGAAAACTGGATATCCATACGCAGAAGAATGAATCTGGACACCTATCTATTGCCATATATAAAAATCATATTCAAATGGATTAAAAACTTAAATCTAATACCTTAAACTATGGAATTACTAAGAGAAACCACTGGAGAAACTCTACAGGACATTGGACTGGGCAAAGATTTGAGTAATACCTCAAAAGCAGAAGCAACCAACACAAAAAAATGGACAGATGGGATCATATCAAGTTAAAAAGCTTCTGCATAGGAAAGAATACAATCCAACAAAGTGAAGAGACAACCCACAGGATGGGAGAAAATACCTGCAAACTACGCATCTGACAAGGGATTAATGACCACAATATATAAGGAGCTGAAACAAGTCAAATGGAAAAAAATTCTAACAACCTAATTAAAAAATTGGCAAAAGATCTGAGTAGACATTTCTCAAAAGAAGACATGCAAATGGAAAATAGGTATAAGAAAAGGTACTCAACATCATTGGTCATCTGAGAAATGCTAATCAAAACTACAATAAGATATCATCTCACCCTTTAAAGTGGCTTTTATCCAAAAGACAGACAAACGCTGGCGAGGAGGTGGAGAAAAGGGAACCCACATACACTGCTGTTGGGAATGTAAATTAGTACAACCACTATGGAGAAAAGTTTGGAGGTTCCTCAAAAAAGCAAAAATAGAGCTACCATATGATCCTGCAATCCCACAGCTGGATATATACTCAGAAGAAAGAAAATCAGTATATTGAAGAGATTGGCACTCCTATGTTTGTTGCAGCACTGTTTATAACAGCCAAGATTTGGAAGCAACCCAAAGTTTATCAACAGATGAATGAATAAAGAAAATATGGTACATGTACACAATGGAGTACTATGCAGCCATAAAAGAGAATGAGATCCTGTCATTTCAAACAACATGAAACAGCACGAAAGACAAATTTTACATATTCTCACTTATTTTGGGGAGCTAAGTTTTTTGTTTTTTGTTTTGAGGCAGCTCTGTCACAAAGGCTGGAATGCAGTGGCATGACCAAAGCTTGCTGCAGCCTCTGCCTCCCAGATTCAAGCGATTCTCCTGCTTCAGCCTCCTGAGTAGCCAGGATTACAGGCACATGCCACCTCGACTTTTGTATTTTTTTTTATAGACAGGGTTTCACCATGTTGGCTAGGCTGGTCTTGAACTCCTGCCCTTAAGCCATCCACCTGCCCTGGCCTCCCAAAGTGCTGGGATTACAGGCATGAGCCACCATACCCGTCCAGGAGCTAAAATTTAAAACAACTGAACTCACAGAGATAGAATGTAGAACAGCAGTTAATAGAGGCTGCGAAGGGTAGTAGGGCAGGGGGAAAGGAGAGATGGACATTAGGTACAAAAATATAGTTAGGTAGAATGAATAAGAGCTAATATTTTATAGAACAGGGTGACTACAGGCAACAATAATTTGCTGTACACTTTAAAATAAATAAAATAATATAAATGACTTGTTTGTCATTTAAGGATGAATGCTTGAGATGGATACCTCATTTACCCTGATGTGATTATGCATTGCATGGCTGCATTAAAATATCTCATGTACCCCATAAATATATATACCTACTATGTACCCACAAAACTTAAAACAATAAATTTTTTCTCTATACAATATCATGTCACCTGCAAACTGAAATAGTTTTACCCCTTCCATGACACTGTGGCATACTTTTAGTTTTCTGGTATAATTGTCCTGGCCAGAACCTCTAGAAAATGTTAAATATAAGAAGCAAAAGTGACATCCTTGTTTTGTTCCTGACCTCAGGAGAAAGCCATTGAGTTTTACATTTCAATTAAATTCCTCTTAATAGCATAAGACACACATCCAAAGACAAAAACTACTTAGCTGGAAGATATGTCAGAATATACTAACTTAATGCAGCAGAGTTAAAATGATCAGGAATGTGGAAGAGATCTTGAGACGTGGTTGATGGAGTCAGAAGAGCTGATAAATGTCATATCAAAACAGAGAGAAGGGGATAGAGCCAATTTGAAGAGGTAATTTAATACACATTATAAACACAATTCTACTAATTTGAAAATATTAGAGTGTACACTAAAAAATATTTTGTGGCATTATCTTTTTGATCACATTGCTATGCATTTTCATACATATCCTTTTTATTTCACAGAAATGGGTACTATTTCATCTTTATTACATAATATATTCTATATATTCCTAAATATTAACACACAATATTCTATGTTATAATATTTAATGTATCTTCCTGCATGGTATTAGATTATGGTGATATACCATAATATAAACTATCCCCAAAAGTTGAGGATTTGGGTTAATTTTCAATTTTTCATTATTATAAATAATGCCACAACAAGTAACAGTTCACTTTAGGTCACAAGCTGGATAATATAATTCCAGCCATTAAAAAAATAATAAATAAATAAATATATATATATAGTATATAAACACAATGTATATGTATTGTGTGTTTATGTAGTGTGTGTTTATGACATTTAAGTGTCACACATACATTTTAAAAACTGGAAAGCAAGATATTAAATATTAAATAACTAGCAGTTCCAACTTCTAGTTTATAAGATTATAGGTAGTTTTTATTGTATTAGTGCCTTTCAATATTTCATATATATTTCACAATGAACACACATTGCTATTTCTGTAGCCAGAAAACTAAGTTTTGAAACAAACCCTGAGATTAACATCTTTTAATATAAATCTCTGCATACATTTCTGACCATTTCCTTTGGAAAAAAGCATACAATTGAAATTAATTTTGACGTCCCTTTCCAAATTACTGTCCAATTTATGTTACCATCAAGAGGGCTCATTTCTCTATAGCCTCAGAAACACTTAGTATCATTTTATCTTTGTAAATTTAGTAGTGTTCTGCATTTAATGGTGATTCTGACAGTACAACCACATTTGGAAATTACTATTATACATTCTTTTCCCAGCTTGAAGTACACTATTCCAATGTTAGTCATAATATTTTTAAACACTAAATTTAACTTAATAACTTATTGAAATAGCCAGATGAGGCTATTTCATGCAAGCATGGTGGCTCACACCTGTAATCCCAGCACTTTGGGAGGCTGTGATGGGGTATCACTTGAGCCCAGAAGTTCAAGACGAGCCTGGGCAACATAGCAAGACCCCATCTCTCTATATAAAAAATGTTTAAATAAATATTTTTAATTAAAAGAAATATAATTTTAAAAAACAGCTAGAAGAGAATTTTGAATGTTCTCACCACAAAGAAATGACAAGTGTTTGAAGTGATAGTTATGCTAAATTACCCTAATTTTATCACTACACAATGTATACATGTATCAAAATATCACTCTGTGCCCATTAATATGTACAATTACCATGTGTCAATTAAAAACAAAATGAAACTTTAAAGTATTTTTCTGATTATGGAAGTTTTACATATATGTATATTTCTTGGATTTTGTAATTTTGCAGAAATGTATATAACAAGTAAAATACAAAAGAATTAATATTTCCACCACTTAGAGAAAACCATCAAAGTTAACATTTCAGTGTCATTTCTCCATGTTCCCCTTGTCTAGTTCACTCATCTCAGGTCTCAGCTCACCCCTTACCAAAGAAAAAAATTTGGAGCAATGGTTCTTAAGCTGATGGTCCATCAAAATCACCTGTAGGGCTCATAAAACTGTAGATGCATCGGCCCTACTCCAGACCTTTTGAATCAATCTCTAAAGAGTGGCACTTGGGTCCATGCATTTTTAGAGACAAAAGCATATTACTGTGCTCCATTTGGGGGTACTTTTTAAATTCTGGTAAAATATACATTTTAAAAATTTACTGTTTTAAATGAGAACACATGGACACAGGGAGGGGCACATCACATACTGGGGCCTGTTGGGGGGTGAGGGGCAAGGGGAGGAAGAGCATTAGGACAAATACCTAATCCATGTGGGGCTTGAAAACTAGATGATGGCTTGATAGGTACAGCACACCACCATGGCACATGTATACTTACGTAACAAACCTGCACGTTCTGCACATGTATCCCAGAACTTAAAGTAAAATAAAAATAAAATAAAATAAAAAATTTACTGTTTTAACTACCTTTTAAGTACACAATTGAGTGGCATTAAGTATAATCACAATGTTGTACAAACATCATCACTCTCTATTTCTAGAACTTTTTCATCATTCCAAACAGAACTTAGTACCCATTAACAGTAACTTCCCATTCCCTTCGTCCCCCAGAACCTGGTAATCACCATTCTACTTTCTACTCGTAGAGTTTGGCTACTCTAGGTACCTTTAAGCAGAAGTATACAGTATTTGCCTTTTTGTGTCTGATATATTTCACTTAGCATTAATGTCTTCAAGCTTCATCTATGTGGTAGTAAATGTCGGAATTTCCCCCCTTTATAAGGCTAATATTCCACTGAAGTATGTCCATACCACATTTTGTTTATGCATTCATCCATCAATGGACATTTGGGTTGCTTCCACCTTTTTTTGCCATTATGAATGATGCAACTATAAACATAAGTGTCCCAGTATCTGCTTGAGTTCCTGCTTTCAATTCTTCTGGGTATACCTATAAGTGGAACTATTAGATCAAATGGTAATTCTATGTCTAACTTTCTGAGTTACTACAATGTTTTTCCATAGTAGCCACATCATCTGACATTCCTACTAGCAATGTACAGGGTTCCACTTTCTCCACATCCTCATAAGCACTTATTTTCCTTTTTTTTTTTTATAATGGCCACCACAATGGGTGTGAAATGGTATCTCACTGTACGTTTGATTTGCATTCCTCTAATGAGTAGATATGTTGAGCATTTTTTTATGTGCTTATTGGCCATTTGTATATCTTCTTTAGAGAAATGTCTATTCAAATCCTTTGCTTCTTTTTGAAACAGACTGTTTCTTTGTTGTTGAGTTGTAGGAGTTCTTTACATACAGTTGACCCTTGCGCACCAAAGGTATAAACCACACGGGTCCACTTATACAGACTTTGTTTCAACCAAATGTTGATTGAAAATACAGTATTCACAGAATGTGAAACCTATGTTTGACTTTTCATATATGCAGGTTCTGCGGGATTTGTGTATGAGCAAATTTTGGTATACACAGGCAGGTCCTAGAACCAATCCCCCACATATACCAAGGGACAACTATATTCTGCATGTGAATCCCTTATCAGATATATGTTTTGCAATATTTTCTCACATTCCATGGGCTATCTTTTCCTGTGTTCTATTTTTTGCACAGTTGTCAAAATAAGACAGTGTGTGGATTTTAAGTTTAAAGCCAGACTAATATTTAGTTATTAAAAAATTAAGTATCTACATGCTTATAAAACCTTAAGTGTTTACTGAATTGCAGAGGCTTACATGTTATTATAAACTTCTGATACCTGACAATAAAAGGCAAACCATAGAATTACACTGAAAAAAAGAAAACTAAGAAAAATTAAGAGGATTTTAGATTTCCTCAATATTCTTTAAAAGCCAGTCCCTTAGGACTTTCATTCTGCAAAT